>NC_000023.11:145384696-145687727 GCF_000001405.40 Homo sapiens | reverse complement strand
AGCCTTTTGCTGATTCTCTAAAATGGAAATTGCCAGCTAGGGATGGCAATATCTAAACAAGACTGATGAGTATACTAATTATTTCAGGCGATAGATTCTCTATAAAGAGGACTGATGGGAAACACTGTCAATGTTAGCTACCAAGAAAAGGAAAGACAGCATTTTAGCAAATGGATGCTTAATCAGCAAGAGAAAGCCTTGTAAAGATCAGTTTAAATCTTAAGCATGAAAACGTACTTTAGTGAATGTCAAGTTGAGTATTCAGCCTGTTCTTTCCAATTTTAGTTCTATTCAAAGCACATTTATTGAGACCTAGTATATGTTAAGCATCCTGTTCCATGCCATAGGGTATACAGAGGAATGAGTCATAGTTTCTACCCTTAAGGAGCTGCAATATATTATGTACAGCTCACATGTCTTTTGTACCAAATGACTAAACTCTGAAGTCTCTGAGTTGCTGAGGATGAGTTGAGAATGCAGAGTACAACAGCATCGAACAAAAAATATGCCACCGCTCAGCATCCCGTTTCCAGAAAGACTAAAACAGTTGGTGAAATTTTCTCTCAGAGGGGCTTAAGACACTCTCTGTGTTGCCACAACACTCTGAGAACAAAGATAAAATAGAAAGAATGCATCTGACAAAACCAGCACATATCATTGAGGCATTATAGAGAGTATCATGGCATCATAAAGCCAGTCGCATAAATCTACAGGGCAGAAAGCCAGTATTTTGCATGGTTAACGGAGTCAAGGGTGCTGAGAAGTCACACAGGAGAACTAAGGATCACTTACTGGATTTATTAATATTACTACTACTGCGGCTGCTGCTGGTGCTGATACTACTACTACTGGAAAGAGATAATGTTTATGGAGTTTATACTCTGTTTCAGATATTTTTCTAATGATTTCATTAATATTATATCATTTAATCTTTGCAGCAACTCTACAAAACGAATATTATTTCTGCACTTTTATCAATGACAACCTAAATCTTGGAGGCAGGCTAACTCATCCAAAGTATATGGTGTAGCCAGAACTTATCAATTAGGCACTGATGACATAGACAAAAGTGATTTGAGGGGAGGAGTAAGAACCTGAAACAGATTGGAATGGGTTACAAAGTAAATATACATGAGAATGTACAAACAAGTAACAGAGGAAACATATTTGGAGAGAGATTTGTATGAATTGTTTCTGACTAAAGAAGGAAACCTCTACTGTAATGAGAAAGAGGAAGGAAAAGACTGGAGCAGATATAGGTGGGTTTGTAACAAGAAATAGGCAGAAACTGAAGGACTTTTTGTCTGCATCTATTTCCCTTGTGAGGGAAGGAACAAGATCATTTTGCACACTAAAAAAGGGGAGGTGGAGTCAGAGCTTTGGAAGAGGGTAATTATGCTTGACATAGACCTTGGAAAGAGTGGAAGCATCAGTTGAGAAAAGGGGCATAATAGGAATGTGTAGCAGTGTTGAGGATTGATTTATTTAAGGTTGGTGACCATGAATTTATTGTAAAACAAACTTGCAGTATTTTAGGATTTTCTCCTGCAGGCTTGGAATTTCTCACTGCAGGGAGGGAAAGGGTAGATATTTGAGTTTAGCTCTTTTTGGGTTTTGCCAAATAAGCACAGTGACAGATGAGTAAGAAGGTTAGAATAATGGCAATAGTATTATTGATGGAATACTAATTGATGGAACACGGAATCTAAGCTGGATAAAGAGGACTCTGAAGGAAGTCGAGGACTGATCAATAGGGAGAAAGTAGAGAAATGAATGGACTGAATGTCACAGTAAGTAGGGACTAATTTAACACAATTGGGATCCTTTAAGCTAGCTGGAAGGGTTAGAGATAGTGTTCAAGAAAGACATATTTGAATCAATGCTTTCAGTGGCAGCATAGCTTTAGGTACTGACAGAGTCCACAGTATAAATGTAGGAATGGGTAGATAAGCTGGAATGGAGAAGAAAGCTTACTTCTTTCTGGATATGCTTAACTTGGCATAAAGTCTAGGGGTTTCCATTATTCCTTTCATTATTTCCATAACTTGTGAAATGAGAATATCTATGGTTTATTGAAATGCTGATATTTTGTTCTTGTTGTCAGAAATTTGAAAAATCAAAAGGTAATATTTCTTTCTACACTCAAGTCTTGTGTCTTGTGACCCACGCTGGCTCTAAGCTGGAGTAGAACACCCCCTCCCCCGCACACAGGAAGCACATTGGAAGTATCTTGGAGTGATTTTTATTTTTATTTTTATTTTTATTTTTGGCTGTCACAGGGATTACAGAAAACTGCAAGCATTCAGTGACTAGTGGCCAGACAGCCGAGATGTTCTGCAATGCTGGAACAGGCTTTGGAAAAAGAAGACTCATACTATTTTCTGCACTATTTTGGAATATCCCAGCAGACATTATTTTATGTATAAAAGCTGTTAATACTTAGCTGAGTTTGAAAACAACTTCAATTTTACATAGAAACCCAAAGTATTTGTTGCACATTTTAATAACCATTAAAATTTTTTGGAGATGCAAAATTCCATGTAAAATAGGGAAAGTCTGTCCTTAGTTTTGTTTGGAATTTTGTCAAGAGTTGTTAACCATATCACAAACTTTAACATTAATAGGGGTTCTGCTAGACCTATTTGAGGCACCTGTATCTGAGAATTGATAAAAAATAAATTTTTACTTTGAAGTCCATTCAATGGATCTAAAAGTAAAAATATTATCAAATTTGCAGAATTATGAATTGCAGTGATATCACTGATTTTCATCAATAAATGTTGTTTTAAGAATATTATTACTATTATTGTAATACATCATTAGGCCAATTAGATATAGTAGTTGTAAACATTTCATATGGAAATTTTCATTTAATTTTTTGGGTTGCCTATTTGTTTTCAATCTTATTCTGATCCTGTCCCCTGAGGTCGATTATAACCACTCTAGAACTTATCTTATTAGGTTCCTTTTCTAATATATCCTTTATTCTCTCATTGTCTGTTGAAAGATATGTTATCTAAGATTTATTTATCTATTAGAGACCATAACGTATACCTCGACATGTGATGGGATTTCAAATTAGAAGATGTGTTTTTCATGATAACTCATACCTTCTTGTCCTATATCATAACTCATAAAAATGGGGACAAACTCATTTGCAAGAATCACACGTTTGTTCCTTTTCTCATCTTGAAGTGTGTAATTTGTTTGGCCATAATTATGGCCATTGCAACAATGGTTTTCTCTTTGTTTGCTCTTATCACATAAAAATCCATCTAGCCCATTATTACTTAACCTAAAATGCGTTCACTCATTATTAATTTCTTTCCTTGAACTTATCTTTTATGATATAGTTCTGGCATTGTATCATATTTTTACCTTAATTATGTAAGTATGCAGAGTGTGGCTTTCTTTTCATGGCAGTAAATTGAGTATTACAAAATATTTGTTAAAAAAGAGAACATCCAGTTTGATATGGTTGAGCCTCAAATGCTGAGCTGCTCTTCCAAATCCTTTTCTCCCAGTTAAGAATTTGTATGTTTCAATGTTAGATGCCTCAAGAAATCATGCTGGACTTTAGGAGATGGAAACTGATGCCTAGACCAAAAGTGAGGAATGGCTTAATGTGGGATACTCAGTGGATTTGCCTAAGGTTTCCAAATTGGGTTAGGTTTTAATTTTGGTAGCAAATTTCATGAGTAGAAGTTCCATGTTCCCTGTTTCCGTGCAGATATCCAAAGGGGAGATGGCTACGTGGTATGGATGGACATTAGTAGCTTTAGCTTGGGTGCTCAGTGAAGTTTCTATGCTTAAGCTTGGCATGATAGGAAGAGAGAGCCACCTGAGTTTGAGTGAAGTAGGCTGGTCTGAGCAAGGACCATGAAGCATTGGAGAACAGAGGCTCATCATTACATTTTATGTACTGAATAGCCCTTCTGTCTCCTGTATAATCTCAAGTTGGGGGGAGTCTCCCAAAACACTGCTGAGATTAAATTTTCTATCAATTTTAACAGATGGGTACTAAACTAGATTTATTTGATTCTAAAAAAATAAAACTAAAAGTTACTAGCCTTGAAATGTACTGATGAAAATTCATACCAGTTGCACTTGAGCTTGATGATATTATTTTAGACATATTTTCACCAGAGAAACTTTGAGAACCATTTATTGAGAGACTACTATTTCTGTGTCTTTGTAACTGCATATTGGGAAGCAGTAGTAGCTTCTGGGTGACCTTCTGTCCGATCCTTTCATCACCTGTACAGTGAATATCTTTTTATCTTTAAATCTTCACATCCACTAGCCTCTCTCTGTGAAGGCCCCAGGGGAACACCTCAAATATGAGGTTCTGCTTTGCAGAAAGATTAACACATGTTACTCCGGTTTGTACACTGCAGAGGGCATGGTAATATTTCTGCTGAAAGAGGCACTTCAAATTGTCAAAACCCGGTGCTTTTGTGAAGCTGGTGTTTGTAAGAAAAGGGCTTGAATTAGTCAGGGTCAGACAACAGTTGGAGTAAATCACCAGGGAAGACCATGAGAGGTATAGAGAGGCTATTGGGGCGCATACTCTTGGGAAATAAGAAAACAGATTTTTGAGCTATGCCTACTAAACAGAGCTCTCTGGGCATATCACTTAGGAGCGACTGGATAGTGAATTAAAACGTCTGCATTTGTATTTCCCTCTGAATGAGTGTTCCACAATAAGCTAATCTGAATGCTTTTGAGGATAGTTCCATGTGGCTTATTTTCTACTCAACTGAAAGCTCTCAAGCTCAAGACAAGATATTTCAATTGTGTGGCTTCAATTGTGTGAGTTGTCACAAAATGAGGTGGGGAAGAAATATTGCTCTTTAAAAGTTAGTGAACCGTGGGGATTTTACGTGAAATTGTAAAGAGTTCAAACTAGTCAAGGAAAGAAGTGGCAGATGAACAACTCAAAAAGAGTTCCAGCGATGCTTGAAAGCCATAGGCATTGATCTCAAAGGGCTTTCCTTTCAGAGATGCACAGCCCAGGCCTTGGTGACTTCAATAGATGGTCAAGAAAATGTCCGTGTTATTACTCTGTTCTTTTTGCTGAATACAGTTTCCACATCCATCCTCAAGACAAGTTTATAGCTAGCTCCACACAGCACGTAAATTGCTTTGAAAAGACTCCAAATAGTTAAATGTGATCAAACAAGTGGTTACTTTAAAAGTACTCATTAGCATCCAGTTACCAGGCAAAGCATTGACTGAATTAAGTTGCTTGTTTTCAAACACCTGTTTGAAAATATACCATATGCCGACTAATTCAAATAGAAGAGAACTTTCACTTTCAGAGACAAAATCTCAGATGCTTTTTTAAAAACAAACCGTAAGTTTCAAAGTATTTTATATCCCTTTGAGGACGACATGCTTCTGGGTATCTTTTAATGCCTATTTTATAAATATTGCAAGAATAAATCATTGCCCCTGTAGAATCTTCATTCTGCTTGACTCCTAAGCAGCATTTGACGCTGTTTATCTTCCCATTTTGCAACTCTATTCTCTACTGTCTTTTAATATGCTGGGTTCTTACTTTATCTTGATGACTCTTTCTAATCATATTTATCTTCCCATCCCTGAAACGCTCATTTATTACCTTCAGTTCTCTTTTAGACTTTTTGCCCTTCTCAGTCTGCAGTCCGTCTGGGCAATCTCGTCCTCCATTAGTCAGTCTTCAATTTTCCTCTGTATGTGTGCTGTCCATTAGGGCAGCCACTATCTCTGTGGCTATTTAAATTTAAGTTAATTAGAAGAAAATGAAATAAAAAAATGTAGCTCTTCAGGCACACTAGCCACATTTCAAATGCTCAATAACCACATGTGGCCAGTAACTACTATATTGGATAGTGCAAACATAGAACAGTCTTATCATCACAAAAAGTTATATTAGAAAATTCTGCCTTTTACGCAAATGGTTCTCAAATAGGTCTCTAGTCCAGACATCTCTCCAGGACCTCAGGTCCGTAATAGCCTAGTGGATATTTCCACGTGAATGTTCTATAGACCTTACAGACAAATTACTTCCACCAAATTGCTCCTTTCCTGGAAGTTAAACCAGACCCTTGAATGCAGAGTTAAGAAATCTCATCTTTCTTCTTTTTCTTTCTTTCTTTTACCACCATTTGCATAAAATCACCTTTATTCTTTAAAAGAGGAGGGCCATTACGATTTTGACTGTTCCCAGATGATTAATTTTAATATTGATAGTTCTTTTAAGTGAAGAAGACACCCAGTTATCATGTGTTGCATGTGACAGTTTCTAATTTGAATCATCCCTTGCAATGACCTTGTAACTGGCATGATTCCTTCCCATTACCCCTGCCCCCAAATTAATTTCACATACTGAATACAAAATGAGGCTAACAAAGCAATCTTTGTGAAAGGAATTCCACAGATTGCCTAATTGACACTTCCAAATCTCTCATTTGTTTGGAGTTCTAAATCAACAGAATTAGACTACAAATTATTTCATTAGTACAAACAATAAAAAATGAGGTCAGGATTATTAGAAGAACAATAGACAAGGGGATGAATTGATCCATAGTCAGATGTACAGGTTGATCTCTGAAACTCAAAAAGTAGGTCAACTTTTTTCCTCTCTCTTAATTACATGCCCACATGCTTTCTTCTGTCAGGTCTGGAAATCTTGGATCTTATTTCTACACAGTGTAATTATGCTTCCATATCTGATCACGTCCAATTTTGAAGTGAAATAAACAGTAGGAACAAGTCACATTAGCAAGTGGAGCCACCAAATTACATTCATTAAGGCATTGTTCAGTTCTGGAGTGCAATCCTCCAGTGACCCCAGGAAAGTAGAAAATCAGTTTACAATTAAGGATCTATGATACTTAATAAATATACATACTGTATTAGAAAGAATGTGTTATTTTCCCCTTCCATCAAAGAGAATGTTGATCTGGAAAGGGCTTGAATAAAGAATAATTACACTTTGATGAAAAGAAGTTGAATTCACCTTGATCCAAATCAGGTCAGTAATTATCCACCCTAATGCAGTATAATGATCTTTTGGATTTATAATCATAAACCTTCAGGAGAGTCTTGGTGTAATTCTAAAGTAATAGCAAGGTAACAAGCTATGTTTCTTATTTAATTTTCTACAAAATACGTCACAATTCTATACTGAATCACTAGTAATATTTTATTATAGTCATTTCTTGTACTTTCTAAAAATTCTCTACTCTCTAGACAAATATATAGCTCCCATTGTCAGCCTTTGCTTGTCTACCCACTTTTGAATACATCATTCTCCACAACTCTGAAGCAAACTACTTCTTATCAAGCCAGCAAAATATCTGTGTCTTCTTCAAGTTTTTTTTTTTTTTCTCAAATTTTTTTCTTGAGGAAGACCTTTTTCAGAAAGGCCAAGCAAAACCCAGGAGGGGTGACTTCAGCTCAATAACTAAAAGGGCCAAAGAGACCACTGTTACTCTTGTTTATCCTGTGTTTGCCTATCCACTACATTGGATGACATCTCATTTGACTATTTAATTAGATTATAGAGCAGAGTTGCACATTGTCTACATGACAATGAGAGAGACTTGCACGCATTCACAGACAGAGAGACAACGATCAAAAGAGAGGCAGAGAGGGAGAGAAAGGAGGAGAAAGAGAAAGAGAACAAGTGCACGTGTGCATCAGAGAAATGAAGTAAGTAGTACCTCATAGAAAGAACATGACCTTTCATATACGTTATGTAACTTTGAATCAGGTATGTAACCTTCTGAGTCTCAATTTCCTTATATGTTAGAGTACATATCTCATAGGGTTGTTGAGGATTAAAAAAGAAAAAACCTTAAAATATTTAATATGGTGCCTGCTACAGAGTAATCATTCAATAGCAATAACAATCACTCTGTTAATTACTAAATAGCTGCATAGACATATTAGGCCTATTGACATATGTAAATAGGTAAGAGTATGTTATTATACCTCTGTGATACACATTTGAATTATAAAGCATAAATATTGGGCAGACATGTAACTTGTGATAATAAAAACAGTGAATGGTCGGTAATTAGAAAATCAGTGTTTGAGTTTTGATTCTGATAGTCACCAGTTGTATGACCTTGGGAAAGTCACTTAACATTTGGAGCTGATGTTTCCAGCCTGCAATGTAGGAGTCACATCACTCACTCTGGACAATAAGTGTGATGATATTTGGACATGGGTTTTTGTGTATAAAGCTCTTTATGCATGTGTAAAACTTAAGGGTGTACGATTCCGTTCATATCCTTTTACAATTGGAGAAGCAGTCCCTGAGGCAGACCCTGTCTATATGTGATTGAGAATACTCACACAGGACTCTTTTCTTCGAAATGGCCCTTTTGAGTTGCATCTGGAACCTGGGCCAGTCTTAGATTTGGAGTCTGACAACAGCCTCTGGCCCTGTGTGCCCTCAGCTTCTCAATTATGTTTATTGAGGGGCAACTGCCACAGTGGCAGACCGTGTCCAGGCACATCTCACCCTGCAGTTGGGGAAAGGAATAACTTGGGCACTGGATATGGAGATGAGAAGGTCATGGTGCAGACTTGTTGATCATGACTGTCACAGGCAACTGGGATGAACACAGCAATGGTCACAGACAACAGGCACAATATTGAAATCATGTTTTGCTCATCATCATCTAGAACAAAAGCCTAACGTAGGTGACCAGTAAATATTTGTCAAAGAATTCCAGGCCATCTCAAGGTTTGTGATCCCAACACACCAAACGATTTGGAGTCAATTGGCTCTCCATTCAGTCACAACACACTGCATTTAACGGAAATTCTTTGCCTCATTTCTGGGAAAATGGCTTGTCTCACTTGTGTTTTCTACCCCCCCATCACAAGCAACCTTCCTTTGTACTCTCTTGCAACTTCACTTTTAAATCTCCAGTGAAATCAGATAGAAAACAACTTCTGGATTTTTCTTTCCCTGCTAGCTTTCAGTTGCTGATAGGGTTGCCATTTTGGATTGCTAAATGGCCTTCTAATTCCCATTTCATGCCCGGTGCTTTGTCTCTTGCTGGTTCTACGGGACTGTCAGAACCTATTTAATAACCTTGCCTATCTCCTCCTTCAGAACTCTTCGGCCAGGCTCTCTTTCCTGCTCTGTATTCTGTTCACTGCTCTGCCACCCTCACAGGCCTCAGCTGCAACTGAAGAGTCCATGTGAAATGACGCATACATTTAGAAGAGAATTTCTCTCTCTTTCCTGAATCTGTGAAGTTTCGAATACCAGAAACCTGTATCTCTGTTAAAAAGTTTCAAAAAAAAAATAAGAAACGGAGTTCAACAAAATATCTGTTTAATCGCAAGCCACACCAGTTACATTTGGGTAAACCTGTTTGGGGGAAGGGAGCACTGCCAGTTACGATTGCGCAGATTTGGTTCTCTGGGAAACAAATTATTCGGACCAACTGGAAAAGCAAACCTATCTATCATCTGATAAAATTTTGAATCCTCTCCTTTCCTGTTGCAGATTTTGCACTAAAAACCTTTTTCTGAACACGTTTTAATGGCCAAAAATTTAGTGATTTCTTAATGTTAATAAACTTTTAACATGAAAAAAACATTTTCTGAGATAGCAACTGGCAGTTTGGGGATAGAAATAATATATTCAGTAAATAAATTTCACACAGCCTGACAGAGAACTCCTACACACTATTCAGATCAATATTTGATGAGAATGTATCAAAGCAAAGTTACTGCTATGAGGAGCCACTGCTGTCTTTTGATTGAAGTTAATGAAGCAGACATATTAGTGTAAAGCACTTGCTGGATGCATTTGAATTTTGTCCTAACCACCACTAGTGCTGCTAATGGAAGATGGTAATTACTGTCCACGTAATTCTGAAATAATTAGGAAAATGGGTACTTTTCGGAGTCATCCTATTAAAATGCAGGCTCGATAATAGAAAAGTTTCTGGACATGGACATGTGTTGACTTGAATCAGTGAAGATAAAAGCGACAAAGTATCTTTTTTACATTACAATTGAAATGTCTCTTCTATTACACGCTGTAAAGCTTGAAGAGCATGACAAAGTCGGAAACCTTGCCAATGACACAGTGTAGAGAAATATGCAGAAAGTAAACTGTGGTAGCAACAGAACTCCATACATTCCCGTAACACTCAAAGGTACTGTAGCCATCCTGTAGCTTGAGCACCGCTCTCCCGTCATCCGTATGAAGGAAGACACCTGATTTGGATTGGTCTCTTGACTGTTTCCCTGAAGGCATATATAGATCACAGCGTTGACAAGGACTTCCCAGGGCTGAAGACGTTCAGGGCATTCAGCTCCATCTCTGAATAAATCAGGGCAGAGTTGGCAGTGCCAGACAGGTGTGCCCTGCTCCCAGCATCAGGCCTGGACCCAGTGGATTTGCAGTGAGTGCACTCTTCTGACGGAGACATGAGAGAATGTTAAATGTGGTATGCGTGAAAGAAAAGATGAATGGCTCCGGGAAACGTATTGTTGGTTGTGAGACAGGGCTCCCTCCCATAAAAGAGAAGGAGATGCTTAAAGAAAGGGATCTTGGGACAGGATTAATAATGAGGAGACAACATGATGAGCAAACGTGGTCTCCATGGACCAGGGCACGTGCATACTTTCCCAGTTGATTTAAAATGTCTTGAAAGTAATTTGTAATTGCAGCATGTCTGATCTAAAAAAAGAGAAAAGCCTTACAAAGATGGGCCTGCCCAGAAAATGTAGTGGAAAGCAGTCTCCCTAAACTGAGATGGCTGCTTGGGAAATACCACACCCATCCAATAAAAGTACGCTACTAGTGATGACTTAGGCAAGCTCTGTCACAGATTTTCTGAAATAAACAGTTAAATCACGCTGCAGTATTCACAACCTTTTGCCAATTCTTTGCAATGCAGAAAGTTCTTACATACATATGATCTTAATTCTCTGTATGGCCACTCTGTGAGAAAAACAAAGTGGGGATTACTATTCCCATATTACAGATTAGAAAAGTGTGGTTCAATGAGGCAAGTGACTTGTGTAAGGACAGAGCTTCTGAATCCCAGCCCAGTGCTCTGCCCACTACCTCACCTGGCGGCTGCTATGCTCTCTGTGGCCATGTTCCACACTGCCATTCTCGGCTCCTCTGGGTTAGGGTAAACTGTCTCAGGGTGAGCCCTGCTGCCCACACCCAGTTCCTAGCAATTCCTGAGAAGTCTGGCGATGAGCATTCTCTGTAAGAACACCTCTTCTCAGAAAGAAAGAGAGACTGAGAGAGAACTCTCCCCAGGAAAAAAAAAAAAAACTGTCATGAGATTCATGCTCTTGAAAAACACCACTTTCTTCCGTTTGTCCTTCCAGACTTTCAAGTGAAAGTCCAATCGTCTGAGCCTAGCATGCAAGCTCCTTCATATCTGATGCTTCTTCATACTTACCCCAGAAAGAAGCCATTGTCCAGCCGGCAGGCCTATCCCCCAGCATTGGAAACCATGTTTATTTCTAACACAGCACTTTCTTTTAAGCTATTCTCTTTATTTGGTAGGGCCTCCATTCACTTTTCTTTGGCCGAGTCCTGCCCAGGTGTCCCGATGCTAGCTCAAGTCCCACTGCACCCACGCCACTTCTACTACAGGTTTAGCACATGGATTATAGGTCCTTTCAGTGTCGTTTTCATGCATTGAATCCTGAGTGATTGCTGACTATAGCAGTCACAGCTGATTTGATTGCAAGTGACAGAAATTCAATTTGATCTGGCTGAGGCCAAAAGGGAAATTTACCGGAAGGCCCTTGAGGAATTTAATCTACTAAGAAAAGGTGGGAAGATCAAGGGCAGCTGGGCCTTAGGGACATTTGGAATCAGAGACTCAGACTCAGAGTGCTGCCAGTGCTCTGTCCCTCTCTCATCTTTGCTTCCATTGGCATAGAACCTTCTTTCTCTCAGCTTCTTCTGGGAGACATGGTGACAAACAGTTCCTGTGCTGTTTATATACCCACAGGCTGTTCACTAGAGGAGGTTTCAGATTTTCTTCTCCATTTCATTTCAAATAATTGTAGGGAAGTACTCTGATTTACCTACTTGCTTCAGATACCTATCTCCAGAAAACTCTGGGATGGCATGAGGTAGAATCACTTAACCTAAACTCTGTCTGCAAACCTTAGGCTAAGTATCATTTCCAGAAGAGAGAAGAAATCACTGTGATCCAGGCAGCCTCCCTGGCTGCTGTCTACCACATTGTGGTCTCTGGGGAATTACTGCTTCACTTTGAAAGCACCATGTCTCCTCCCCAAAACAGTTTTGACAGCTTCTCGAGGGTTGAGCCTAGGACCACATGTTATCCTGGAGTTCCCATAGTCCCTAGCATAGTGCTATAACATTTCATTCATTTACACATTATTGAGTGCCTCTTTTGTGGCAAGCCTGTACTAGATGTTATAAGTGGAAACTTGTTATCCACTCCAACTCTTGCCAAAAATTACTTGCAGTTCTCTAAAATCACCATGCTACTTCTCACCTCTCTGTTTTCATACATGCTATTTCTTCCATCCAGAGTATCTTCTCAATTCTTCCTCCCCTGATGGGAACTCTCACTCAACTTCCAAGACTCACCTGAGGTGTCACCACTTCTGGAAAGCCTTTGGTGACCTCTTCCCCTTGTCCCCTCATCCCAAAGCTGAATAAAGTGCCCCTCTTCTGTGCTCTCCCAACACACTTCATGGCACTTACCACTTATTACTATGCATTATAAACATTTACATGTTCCTTCCCGTATGAACAACCTGCCGTTCTAGAAGTCTGGTCCCTTGCCTATCAGCATCTCTTGGGCAATTGTTAGGAATGGATACTCTTGAGCATCCCTCCAGACTTAATAAGTCAGAGACTTTAGGGGTGGGGCCAGCAATCTGTTTTAATGAGCCCTTCAAGTATTTCTGATGCACATTCAAGTCTGAGAACTACTGAGACAGATACTCCCAGTGGTCATCACAGAATCTGGTTCATAGTAAGTGCTTGGTAAACTTTTGATGAATAAATCAAAGAATCAATAATTTCTCCTCCTTGTGAAGATTTTGGATGTGTTGTTTCTTATTGGTTGCTTTTCAGGCACTATCATCAGGCAGGTGACTATTTTCCATCCATTCATTCATTAGATCATACATTCATTTATTCAATAATTAGACTATCTCGAAAACTAGGGATTTAGGGACTCCAGAGTTAAATTCATACTATTTGCCACAACGGTCATGTGCATAGCTCTCCTAACCACCAGGAGTATTTTGGAAGCCTTCTTTCATGGCTATAGGTTACAGCTTTATAACTATGATGTCTTTCATTGATATCTTTTCCAGAGTCAAGAATTCCAGAGAAAATGATATTCTTGGAGCTGCTGGTATCCTTCGAGCTTCGTATGACTTTGAAAGAAAAAAAATACCCACTTAATCCTGAGTGCCTCCAAATCATATTTGCTGATAAACCCTGGATTTAAGTTGTAAACAAATTAAAGATTAAAAACTTTCCTTTGGCACACTCTTTCAAGAACTTTATTACTGTCTGCGAGCTACTTGGTTCCTTTCAGAGGGAGCAATTCTCTGTGTGCTAGGCTGAGCAAGGCCTTCCTGCACCTTGGCAAAGCCCAGTGGGAGTGTGTGTGAGAGACTGAGCTGTCTCAATGGTCCAATGTTATACTTTCAGCAAGCTTTTGAGAACAAAGTCTCTGTTTTTATTGCTCTCCCTGCCAGTGATCACGGCTGGCTTCTTTCAGCGGGACATTCCCTGCCTTCACACTTAGTGCCAAAGCGGGGCATCCCCTGAGCACTCCAAGCTCCTCCCAGAGCCCTGAAATGAGGATATTCTTGAGGCTACCCTTTCTCCCATTCTGTACACACACACACACACATACACACATACACACACACACACACAAATTTTCTGATAATCCTTTCCTGCATCCCAAAGAAGACAGTGACTATAAAGTCCCCAAGAACAAAAGTTCTTTTATCATACCAACATAATTTGTATATATATATATTTAATACTGTAAGTCATTAGTTTCTGGAAACTTGTTTCACATTGTAATGTGCAAACCTTACACAAAAAAATGACTTAAGGGAATGAACTGTTTAAAGCTTAGAGGTTAGAGTTAAACACATACAGGATAAAAGCATGAATTATGTGGAGAGGTTTCACACATGGAATACAAAATTGGGCTACATAAAGCGATTTCTGAATGAGAATCTGTGGCTGTATAACAACATGCAGAGATTCATATTAAGCATGCAGATTCACCTGGAGTGTCTCATTCAGTAGATGGTCCAGGAAAATGTTAATTTTCACAGTTGCCTCAGGTGAGTCTTATATGAAGCTACTGTTGGGAAATACTAGATAAGATATTCAACTTTTCTTACAATGCAGAATCTATGATGCTCTGTATTATTACACACTTCATGAACTCTCTCCCACTCTCCCTCTGATTTCTATCCAAATAAGGGAGGAGGTAGCAACAGCTTTTACATTATATATTGGGGGCCAGAAAACCTGGGTTATGTTTCCATCTCTGCCACAAACTAGCTCTATTACATTGGATAAGCCATTAGCCTCCTCTAACCTTATTTCCTTATGAACCAAACAGTCTGTACTACAAAACCAGTCATTTTCTCGTAAAAAGAAAGAGAGATCAGGCGCAGTGGCTCATGCCTGTAATCCTAGCACTTTGGGAGGCCAAGGCAGGAGGATCACCTGAGGTCAGGAGTTCGAGACCAGCCTGGCCAATGTAGTGAAACCCCGTCTCTACTAAAAATACAAAAATCAGCCTGGTGTGGTGGCGGCTGCCTATAATCCCAGCTACTCGGTAGGCTGAGGCAGGATAATCACTTGAACCCATGAGGCGGAGGTTGCAGTGAGCTGAGATCGTGCCACTGCACTCCAGTCTGGGCAGCAAGAGCGAAACTCCATCTCAAAAAAAAAAAATTAAAAAGAAAAAGAAAAAGAAGACTTTATTTGTGCTGTGTGTACCATTTGATAATTTTTACAGTGCAAACACTCCAACCCACCATGGATAATTTCAAGCTGTGGATGGGCTGTCACTGAACATGGAACTGGGAAGATATCTACTCTTGCAAGCTATTATAAGCTGGCTCCAGCTTACTATGGACTATATTCCTTCCAACCTTAAATGTCTACTCCATGTTATGTAACTAATGAGCTAATAATGATAGTAATTTCTCTTTAAAGAAAAGGAAAATTCAGTTATTAGTGCTGTGGATAGCCTACGCTTTGTAGTTGGGCAGACTTGGTTTTGAATTCCAGTTCTGTCATTTAAAGCTGTGTGATCTTAGACAAGATACTTAAATTATGGGTCTTGGTTTTCTCATTTGTAGAACAAATATACCAAACCCCATTTTTAATGAGGAGTAATGAGGTAATACATATAGAGTATGTTTCAGTGTCTGGTAAAAGTAATGTGAATGAATGAAATTAGAGAAGATAAGGCACAGCAGTAGAAATCATAGCATTAGAAACACCAACACTAGACAGGAAAAATATCCAAAAGGAGAATATCAATGAGAGATCACAGTGAAACCTGATGTTAATGATAACAGTTGCCATTTTATTGAGTGCTTGGCATATTCTAGGAATTGTGCTAAGAGCTTTACCTAAGTTATCTGCTTTTAAAAGCACAGAAAGGTATAAGAGATGAGCTAAAGTATCACCTAAGAGGTAATTTAAATTTCTTAAAAATTATTTTTAGATTTGACCTCATACACAAGACAATTTTCAGGAGGGTGAATCTAGAAAAAACAAAATAGGAGCTATGAAACTAACTTACCACAGTTCCAAACTTTGTACTTTGTATTCAAACCAATTCATTTGTAAGATCATCCGGTGGACATCAACTATTTGCAAGACACTGAACAAGGTACTGGAGAAGAAGAGGATACATATTTGAATAATACAGGGCTTCTGTCACTAGAGAGACAGACTCAGGCACTCAGGCATGAATCGCACTGATTTAAGGCTGTCTCAAACCAAGTTTTATGTTCCCTTACACAGACTGTATCTGAAGCCATTCACTCGGGTGTCTGGTTTCCAGTCTTTGTTACAAACACACTGTATTTTCCTTCTGAAACTATTCTAAAAAGTTAAAGAGGTGGGGACATGCCCAAACTCATTTTATGAGGCTAGCATTACCTTCATACTAAAACCAGACAAGGACACTGCAAGAAAAAATTTACAGACTAATATCCTTGATGAACTTAGATGTAAAAATTCTAAACGAAATACTAACAAACAAAATTCAACAGCACATTAAAAGGATCATGCACCATGATCAAATGGGATTTATTCCTTAGATGCAATGAAATTTCAATATATATAAATCTATGAATGTGATATAATGAACAGAATAGAAGATGAAGTCCTATGATGATCCGAAAAGATGCATAAAAACATTTGACAAAATTCAAGATCCTGTCATGAAAAATGCTCAACAAACTAGGTACAGAAAAAATGTACTTCAGTATAATAAAAGCCATGTATGACAAGCCGATAACTACCATCATGATCGATGTTGAAAGCTGAAAGCTTTTCTTCTTATATCAGGAACAAGACAAGGAGGCTTGCTTTCACTTCTATTCAACAGAGTACTGAAAGTATTGGAAGTCCTAGCCAGAACAATTGGGCAAGAGAAAAGAATAAAAGACACTGAAATAAGAAAGGCATTGAAGTGAAATTGTCTCTGGTTGCAGACAAAATGATCTTACACGTAGAAAACCCTAAAGACTTCCCCCCAAAAGTATTAGAACCAATAAAGAAATTCAGTAACATTTCAGGATACAAAATCAACATACAAAAATCAGTAGCATATCTATACACAAGCAACAAACTATTCAAAAAAGAAATTAAGAAAAGCATCCCATTTATAATAGCTCAAAAAATAAAAAACTTAGGAATAAATTTAATCAAGGAGATAAAAGACCCTGTACACTGAAAACTATAAAACATGGATGAAAACAATCGAAGGGGACAACAATGAAGGGAAAAATTTCTCTTGTTCATGAATCGAAATTATTAATCTTGCTAAAATGTCTGACAAAAGTGATCTACAGATTAAATGCAATCCTTATCAAAATTTCAATGGCATTTTTTACAGAAATAGAAAAAATGCTGAAATTTACTGGAATTATGAAAGACCTCAAATAGCCAAAACAATCTTGAGCAAGAGGAACAAAGCTGGAGGCATCACACTACCTGAGTTTAAAATCTACTACAAAGTTTTAGTAATCAAAGCATCATGGTCCTGGCATAAAAACAGGCACATAGACTAATGGAAGAGAATAGAAATCCCCTACATAACCCACACATGTACGGTCAACTAATCTTTTCCAGGAATTACACACAATGGGGAAAGGAGAATCTTTTTAATATATAGTGTTGGGAAAACTCGATATCCTCATACAAAAGAGTGAAATTGGAGCCTTGTCTTACACAATACACAAAAATTAACTTGAAATTAATTAAGGACTTAAACATAAGATCTAAAACTGTAAAACTAGTAGGAAAAAGCTCCTTGACATTGGTCTTGGCAATGATTTTTTTCTTTAATATGACTTTAATATGACTGCTAAAGCAAAGGCAACAAAAATAAAAATATTGAGACTACATCAAACTGAGACTTTGCTGCACTTCCTGCACAGCGAAGAAAATAATCAATAAAATAAAAAGGCAACTTGTGAAGCAGGATGAAATATTTACATACTGTGTATTATATTCAAATTATAATATAATATGAAGAATTAATATGCAAAATGTAAAAGTAACTTGTATAACTTAATATTTACAAAAAAGAAATCTCAAATGGCCTAATTAAACAGTGGGCAAAGAATCTGAATAGACACTTTTCCAAAAAAAGATATCAAAACGACCAACAGTTATATGAAAAGATATTCAGCATCGCTAATCATCAGGGATTTGCAAGTCAAAACCACAATGAGATATCCCCACACCTGTCGGGATGGCTGTTATCAAGAGGCAAGAGACAATAATTGTTGGTGAGGGTGTTGAGAAAAGGGAACCCTTGTACACTGCTGGTTGGAATGTAAATTAGTAATGTTGTTATGGAAAACAGTATGGTGGTTCCTCTAAAAGTTAAAAATACAACTACCATATGACACAGCATTTCTACATTTAGGTGAATATTTAATGGCAATGAAATCAGTATGTGAAAGAGATATCTGAATTCCCATGTTCATTACAGCATTATTTACAATAGCCAAGATATGGAAACAACCTAAGTGCCTGTGCATGGATGAACGGATACATATACACACATACACAATAAAATATTATTATTCAGCATTTAAAAAGAAGAAAATTCTGCCATCTTCCACAACATGAATGAGCCTGGAGAACATTATGCTAAGTAATGTAAGCTAGACACAGAAAAGCACATACTGTATGATCTCTCTAAAATAGACAATCTGAAAAAGCCTGTGAACCTCAAATATCTGAGACAGGTCTCAGTCAATTTAGAAAGCTTAATTTACCAAGGTTAAGAATGTGCCCATGAAACAGCCTCAGTCGGTCCTGATGACACGTGTCCAAGGTTGTCTGGGAACAGCTTGGTTTTGTACATTTTAGGGAGACATGAGACATCAATCAATATATGTAAGATGTACATTGGTTCAGTCCAGAAAGGCGGGAGAACTCAAAGCAGGGAGGGGGCTTCCAGGTAATCGGTAGATAAGAGGAAAAGGGTTGCATTCTTCTGAGTTTCTGATTAGTCTTTCCAAAAGAAGCTATCAGATATTCATTTATCTCAGTGAGCAGAGGGATGACTTTGAGTTCTGTCTGTCCTTTGTCCACAAAGAATTTTCTTATAGACAAATTGCGAAGGAGGTATGTACCTTTTTTTTATCTTAGCAGGTATCTATTTTAGGAATAGATTTTAGGAATCTATTTTAGGAATATTTAGGAATAGAATGGTAGACCGATTTGCCATAAGTAGTTCCCAGCTTGACTTTTCCCTTTGGCTTAGGGATTTGAGGTTCTTGAGATTTATTTTTCTTTCTCATTTCCCACACTTTTCGTTTTAAAATATTCTGGAGACAGGATTTTAGAAAAAAATGAGTCTCTGGTCTCAGGTTTTGCGTGATATAGCAAGAATGGTTTATTCTTAGATGGGTAGGTCCCATGTTATTAGGAAAGCTCATTTTTAGCAGATTGTAAAGTCTCATGTCCTACAGAGAAAAAATAGTGGGGGTAAGGAAGAAAAGCAACAACAAACAAAAAAAGAATACCAATTTTGGAAAATCTATATAGGCCTATTACTCTGAAATCTATACATCAGTAGGAAAGTAGGAAAGTGGCTTATGTATGTAAATAGGTTGCTGTTATTTTCTTCTGAAGTTTAAGTTATCTGGCTTCAGTTTGCAGGGCTTTAAGAAAATACAGCTTCATTTTTAGTTATTTCAAATCAGAAAAAAATAGGGAAAAAATGAATGGAAAGAAGGAACTGAAAACATTATTTTGGAGACTTTTAGCCAGGAAAAATTTTACAATTCACTCCAACCTGTAGAAAATAATAAAAATTGAAAAACATTAGGCAAGACGAGACTCTAAGAGCATGTGTACAATCGTTTATTTTGATGTTTCTCTTCAGTCCCATATTCACTAAAGACAAATTATGGGAGAAATTCATTTGCAAAATAAGTCTTAGTCTTATTATATTTGGCCAGAGTATTTGCATAAAGTCAACAAGAATAAACATTTACCATGTAGGCTCCTCTTTAACAAAAATTGGCTTTGCTGGAACTTCATTTGATAAGGGATCTCAGATTCAACTTTAATGCCTCAATCTTAGCCTGTGCCTGCAAATACCTGTATTAATTGGGTGAATTATTCACCTAGAGGTCCCAAGAGAATCTGGGGCTCCTGAGTCTGTCAGAAAGTGACATTCTTTACTTACTACCGGTCAGGAACCTGTACTGGGACTGTCTGGACAAGGTATGAGGTTAGCTTTCCCAAGGGGCTTTTATTGGCTCTAAAAGTCAACTTTAATTCCATAAAGGAGTCTGTATCTGATAGCATGCTATTCCAGTCAAAACACTGGTAAAATACCAGTGTCTCCAATTGTGTCCTGTTACAAAACAAAACAGAAACAATAAGAATTTGTACTTATGCAAATAACATTGCCATAAGTGAAGAATACTCACAACTAGTTTCCAAATTTTGGAGGAATCAGGTAGAGAGAAATATGCTCCAAATTTCGTTTTTAGGAGTATAGTTTACTCAATTGTTAAAAGCTGTAAATAGCTCAAAAGAAAATTTTTCTTGGCTCTGGAAAACAGAGAAAGGATCAGCAACGTTTTAAGCAAAAATCATAAAAGGAGTATTTCAATATTCTGTTAGTTGAGTCCAAGCAGTTAACTCACATTCTGCTTGATATTCATGGACATTTCAGCTCTCCCTGGTAGATTTTGAAGACTTTTTCTCTATTCTAGCATCACAATCTCCAAAACATGCATTCAGGAGCATCTGTCAGAGTCCTATGCTGATTACAAAACCACATTTTGAAAAGGATAAAAGTAAAACAATTGTGGATGGCACAAGTTTTAAAACAGTCATAGTTAAAAACACAATTGACAAGGAAACGTGGTTACTTCTGTGCCATACAACAATTTTACATAATAATCATAATTACTCATAATAACATGCTAAAACATATCAGAATCAAAAGAATTTCATATAGTTCTGGAACACATACTAATAACACATTTATATAAATATAATCCAAAGAAGGGTAAACACTGTTTCATATTTGACAATACTTCCTGTATGATTTTATTATCTCAAACAAGCCGAATATGTCTCTTTTGGACTTCAAGAGACCAATATCAAAAAATTAATGAGGATCAAAGTTAGAATTTGACTTTGGGAAGTTTGTCAAATATAAAATGTATAAAATGCTTGATATCACAAAATTGAATCAACAATCATTGTAAAATAAGTCATTCATTTAGCCAAAGTGATAACTCAAAGATTTTTAAAAACAGTGAAAACCTTTATTCTTTGGGAGAGGAGACTTAATTCCCCCAACAATAAGCCCTAATAAAAACAGCACGAAGCCAATTAAATTTGTTTTCCCAAATTTTATAAACAATCTATAAAATTTTAATCATCTTGACTACAAGATATAATTTTCATAAGCCTTTTTAACCTTTAATAAGGAGTGGGTTAATGCTCCAAATAAACCTTGTTAATCAAATGCAGGTGCCCATATGCTGGCCTGCCTTTGACATTAATTGTTAAGTTATAGAGAAACTGAACTTATTTTATTTTTCAAAATTGGCTCTTACAATCTCATGCACCCACGTATTCTGCGATAGCCCCTGGGCCTTGAGAAGTTGAATAGTTTTAATTTCTGGCCCTGTGTCTCAGAAATGCACAGCCCCCCAGACACTATCACTTGGCCCCCTGTCACCCACGGGTGACTTTCAGCTGAGAAGAGCAAAATGCCCTTTCGCTTCGGAGCTGAGGAAACTCAGTCTCTCCTTTATCTATGCAAACGACAGTTTAGTTCCTCATGCAAATATGCACACAAGCCAAATTGAGATTAATTTTGGGAGGAAAGAGAATGGAGAAGACTCTTTATAATGTACCTAGGAATTAAAATTAGGATCCTAAACAGCAGCTTCCTAGGAGGAACAAACAAACAAACAGACAAACAAAAACAGATAAGACCAATTCCTGTAAACTGTCCTTAGCCACTTTTAACTTTGTAGCTCTCTTACACCATTACACATGCTGAGGTCAAATCCTCTCACAGTACAAGATAATCTCTGGTACCCCAAAAAACCAAAGAGTTCATGTAATGCAGTACAAGAGAGCAGAACTTTAGACCTAAGAATCTGCCCATGACTCTTGAAACCCCGCAAAGAAAACAGAACACCCCAAGAAGATGTGAGTGGTGCCTTAGTTCTGAGTTCTTAAAGGGGTTAGAGTCATTAGAAATCTTCTCTAGATTTATCTTGGTACTGAAAATGGCAAAGGGGAAAGGAGGAATTGAGTGGAAGAATAGTAAACTAAATAAGAATTTTTTTTAAAGACAGGAATCAAACGCAGAAACCAAGCTCATGGTTTTGTTTTGTTTTTCTCAGAGAGGACTTGTTTCTCATAATTTGGAATTCTCATTCAGATTAGACCAAGTCAGGTACAGTTGGTCAAGTCTGACAGGAGAAAGGCCAGAAACAACAACAACAACAACAACAACAACAACAACCCAACAACTGAGCACTGTAATGGTAAGGAGAAATTAAGACCGGCTGGCTTTAATTGTAACTTTAGCCAAGATGAAACCACAATTTAGCTACTTACCTAGGGATAGGTCTCAGGCTGAAGACTGCTCTCTACCATCCTAGACGCAGGAAAAAACTCACATTGCCTGTCAGAAGTGAACTCAAACTCCAGAATGGAGTTACCTGCCTTCCATCGTCATGGAAGCAGGAAAACGCCTTCCTTGTTGGAAGCAAGTAAATGGCAGAAAAATAAGTTGTTCAGAAAAATTAACTTTAGATCTTGACCAAATTTTGGGAGATCAGGGATTCTCTGGAGCGGGGGCTCCCAGGCGTCAGCCAAATGTCCTATTTGTTTGACCCATGAAGATATCTCAAGCTGGTACCAAGCACCGATGATTTGTCAAAGATCAGGGCCACCTTCACTCAGAGTCCCTTCATGGTCACCAAATGTGAACCCCAAATATCTGAGACAGGTCTCAGTTAATTTAGAAAGTTTATTTTACCAAGGTTAAGGATGTGCAGGTATGATGCAGCCTCAGGAGGTCCTGGTGACATGTGCCCAAGGTGATTGGAGCACAGCTTGGCTTTATACATTTTAGAGAGATATGAGACGTCAATCAACATGTGCAAAATGTACAACGGTTTGGTCCAGAAAGGTAGGAAACTCAAAGCAGGGAGGGGGCTTCCAAGTCACAGGTAGATAAGAGACAAATTGTTGCATTCTTTTGAGTCTTTTACTAGCTTTTCCAAAGGAAGCAATCAGAGATGCATTTATCTCAGTGAGCAGATGGATGACTTTGAGTTTTGTCTGTCCTTTGTCTACAAGGAATTTCCTTATGGATAAATTGTGTGTGAGATATGTAGCTTTTTTTTTTTTATCTTAGTAGCTATTTATTTTAGGAATAGAATGGAAGGCAGGTTTGCCCTAAGCAGTTCCCAGCTTGACTGTTCCTTTCGGCTTTCTAATCTGGGGGTCCTGAGATTGATTTTCCTTTCACAAATCTATTTCATGGTCGCAGAGAGTAGAATGGTGGTTACCAGGGGCCAGGGGAGATGTTAGTCAAAGGGTACACAGTTTTAGTTATAAGATGAGTAAATTCTGGGGTTCTAATCTACAGGATGGTGACTATAGTTAACAAAACTGTGTTGTACACTTGAAATTTACTAAGACAGTAGATCTTAAATGTTCTTACCACACACACACAAACACAATAACAGCTATGTAAGGTGATGGTTGTGTTAATTAGCTTGACTGTGGCAATCATTTCACAATGTGTACATACATCAAATCCTCCTGTTGTACACTTAAAATACATACGATTTTACTTGTCAATTATACTTCGGTAAAACTGGAAAAATAAATAAATATACATAGTGCACTCTTTCTAAACTACATGAGACATGTTTCAGTGGGTATGTAGTGAAAAACATTAGTGTTTTAAATCCAATTCCTATCCTATTTACTAGCAGCAGCAGCCACTTCTCATTTATAGAGTTTGTTTTATATAGGAGCTCAATAAATACTAGCGATTGTTTTTGGTTACTCTATTATGTAAGTTGATATTAGCTTTGGTAATAAACAAATCCAAAAATATACAAGGACTCAAACCTTATAGGAGCCTTTTTTCTCACACACAAATTTCAAAATGAATGTTCCTGATCAGCAAGTGGTTCTCTGTCAGTTGGTGATTCACGGTCCTAGAATATCTCGATCTCATGGAGGCTCCATCTTCAATACATGGTTTTCGAGGTCATCAGGCCCCTCTACTTCAACCAAGAGAAAGATCTTAGAGAATCAAGTATGAACAGTTTTATGAATCAGTCCTGTAAGGATTGCACATGACTGCCTCTCATAATCAGTTGGCTAGTATTCAGTCATATTACTACAATTTACTCCACGGGAAGCTGGGAAATGTAGGAAAAAGAAAAAATACAGTGGTAGAGACTGGTGAAGAACTGGCCAGTCTCTACCACAGAAACAAGTAAATCTAGTTTATTCTACTCCGAATATCTCACTGAACAAAACACTATGTGGTATCAAGTCTATGTATTTATTTTTAATAAGTATTAGCAGCATCACAACTTTTCTAGATGCCATAATTTCATATTTGTATACAAGTTTAAAGAAAAGAGGATTTGATGCAAACTTCCTCTCTTGCTTTTGTCGTTGGTGATTTTCAATACTTTCTTTCTGATTTATCTGTCTCTCATCATTTTCTGTCTAATGGCACTATGGTTTGCATAGTCTATTGTGTGAGTTGAAACACTAATGATAAAACAAAACTTGAGAAACAATCTAGGCATGTAGAATCAGAAACAAGTTGTAAATCAGTACTGGTCGACAAGTGCAAAGAGAACAGGTGATATGTCAGAAGCCTCGTTAGACAGATAGAAATTAAGAGTTCTCAAGTACTGAGGGTGACGAAAACTGGGCATCATATCTCACAACAATCATTGGAGATCAGGGTATTGGTATGGACCACTGGATGTCTCAGGGGTAGAGCCAGAGCAGTGTTATTTTTATAATGCAAAAGAAAAACACATAGCTAGAAAGATTAGCAGATTTGTTAGTATTCTGCCAACTAGTCTATTCCAAGAATTCCAGATAAGGACAGGAAAAGAATGGTGATGGATTGTGTGAGGAAAAATACAGACTCAGGCTGCCTGCTGTTGCTACCTGGAGTTCTTTGGGTTTCAGGATCTACCTTCAACTCTGAACCCCTTACTCTTTCCAAGCAGAGACAAAACATGCATTCACTTATCTGACACACAGACTGTGCATTACTCAGGACTTGTTTTTATTCCAACAGGCAACAAACAAGAATTCCTTCTTGAGAGAGGAGCCTGGCCCTAGTTTTAGGACAGCCTTGTGATTTCCTTAATGTTGGTGAGTCACATTTACTTTCTCATTTATCCTCAATGATTCTTTACCCATTGATTTTCTCACTGGTTCCGTGCCTCTCATGCTTGCTTCCCTGCTTGCCCTCAGTTGTAGTGTGTTCAGAACCTACATGACTGGCTGCAGACTTCTATTTACCTTGTCATCATATTACTCTGGGCTCTGGCAACACAGATAATAGTAAGAAATAAGGTAACATGATAAACAGTATCTAATAGGAAGAACCAGGCAATATAATGCCAAGTTTAAGGCAATTAAGCTGAAAAGAGATGGCCTCAATAGGTGAAATTATTTAACTCTTGATAGTATTGTGTGTGTGTATTTATTCATCTTTTTGGCAGTAAGGATACCCACACAGGAGAAATATTATTTTTTGCAACAAGAGTTTAGAAGACAGAACCCAATGTTTCCCCAGAACTGCTGTCTGTTTTTACCAATACTAGAGAAAAGATAATAAAGTGCTTTTCGTTCGTTCTCTCTTTGCACTGCTATTTTTATTGCATATTTGATTCTGGTAGCGACAAGGTGAGCACTAAATTCTCATATCTTAATGTGTTCTAACTGAAGAAAGAAAAGGTGGTGAACATAATAAGTGGTCAAAAATTGATTGAATTAAAGTGTTTGGAAAAGAAGGTGAAGGAAGAAAGGAAGTGAGGACACATCTATTGACTGTGTCCTACAACTGCTGTGATAACACATTTATTTAAGGCTCACCATGTTTCAGGCATTGTGACAAAAATTAGTTTTACGTAGATTATAATTTATTTACCCTCAAAAAAGCCTTAGAGTAAATCATGTCCTTATCCTTATTTTATAGATGAAGAAACGGAGGCAAAGATAATTTAAATGACCTAAGTGTCATAAATTAATAAGTGGTACAGAGGATACTGGAACACAAATATGCTCTTGCCTTCAACAATTCTATTATAATTTGTTGTATGCCAGGCTGAGGCTCCCATGAGGTTAAGTAATTTCTTCAAAGTCACATAGCTAGTTAATTGTCGTTCCTGGAATCAAGTTCATGAAATAAGATCAAAGTGTCACAAAAAATGTCTGGAATAACAATGGGCAGGTAACATAAGTCTCTATTTCAGAAGCAGTTCAAGTACATATATAAGAATTTATTTTATCTGTTTTATCTACCATTGTCTACAGCCCAGACCTCTCATGTAAGCTAAAAACCTACATATGCAACTACCTAATTGATTTCTCCTCAAAACCTACTTCTCACAGTCTTGCCCATTTCAGCAAATGACATCCCCCTCTCTCCCGCCCCCATATTACTCGTGCTAGAAGCCTGAGAAGTAGCTCTGACACCACCTTCTCCCTGCATCCACCTCTTTAAAATCTGAATTTTCAAGATATTATAGATGGGCTTTAGGGGAGAGGCATAATCCCTTGAGATCATTAGCATGTTAGATCTTCAGTTATTTGATTACTTGCATTTCTCGTTGACATAAAAGATTCAAAGAGTCAAACCTGCAGCTGTTCCTCCACACCTCTGTTTTAACCGAGGCAGCTGATAATGCATTCTGTATACTTTAACCATGGTAAAATTTTAAAACACCAATCGGATTATAACAGTATTCTGCTTAAAACTCTTAAAAGACTCCCCATTGCCTTTAATGTACTGTAAAACTTGCTCAACCCAAAGGCCAGACCTTGAATGATTAGGAACCTGCAAGTCTTATCAGTCTCATCTTGTTCTACTCACTCCCTTGCTTCTTTTCTCTTTCTCTGTCCAAATACTTCGACTTCTCTGAGTTATTAGATCACATTTGAAGGATTTCTTGCCTCAGGGCCTTTGCATATGCTGTTCAATATGCTTGGAATTGTCCCCTCACTCTACCCTACTTTTACCTTGCTAAATCCTAATTCATTCTTTAGTCACCAACTTTAATATCACTTTCATTGGGAGGTGTCTTAGTCTGTGTCTTAGTCTGTTCTCACACTGCTATAAGGAACTACTTAAGACAGGGTACTTTATGAAGAAAAAAGGTTTACTTGGCTCATCCTTCCACAGACTGTGTAGGAAGCATGGCTGGGGAGTCCTCAGGAAACTTACAATTATGATAGAAGGCGAAGGGGAAGCTGGAGCAGGAGGAAGAGAAAAAGGCGGGAGGTGCTACACACTTTTAAACAACCAGATCTCATGAGAACTCACTCACTATCACCAGAAGGGGAAAATCTGCCCCATGATCCAATCACCTCCCATCAGGTCCCTCTCCAAAAATTGAGAATTACGATTTGACACGAGATTTGGGTGGAGACACAGAGACAAACCATATCATTCCACCCCTGGCACCTCCCAAATCTCATGTCCTTCTCACATTTCCAAACACAATCATGACTTCCTAACAGCCCCCCAAAGTCTTAACTCATTCCAGCATTAACTCAAAAGTCCAAGTCCAAAGCCTCATCTGAGACAGACAAGTCCCTTCCACCTATGAGCACGTGAAATAAAAAACAAGTTAGTTACTTCCTAGAAACAATGGGGGTAAAGGCATTGGGTAACTGCTTCCATTCCAAATGGGAGAAATTGGTCAAAACAAAGAGGCTATGGGCCCCATGCAAGTTCAAAAACCAACAGGGCAGTCATTAAATCTTAAAACTTCAAAATACTCTCCTTTGACTCCATTTCTTGCTTCCAGGCTGCAGTGGTGCAAGGGGCGGGGGTGCCAAAGGACTTGTGCAACTCCATCCCTGAGGCTTTGGAGGGTACAGCCCCTGCAGCTGTTTTCAAGGGCTGACATTGAGTGCTTGCAGCTTTTCCAGGTGCATGGTGCAAGCTGTTGGTTGATCTACCATTCTGGGGTCTGGAGGATGGTGGCCCTCTAGTTCTCATAGCTCCACTATGCAGTGCCCCAGTGGAGACTCTGTGTGGGGGCTCCAAATCCACATTTTTCCTCCACATTGTCCTAGTAAAGTTTCTCTATGAGGGCTCTGCCCCTGCAGCAGACTTCTGCCTGGACAACCAAGCATTTCCATACATCCTGTGAAATCTAGGCAGAGGCTGTCAAGCCTGAACTCCTGCCTTCTGTGCACCTTCAGGTCCAACACTATGTGGAAACCACTAAGGCTTGGCGCTGGCACACTCTGAAGCAATGGCCCAAGCTGTACATTGCCCCCTTTTAGTGACTGCTGGAGATGGAGCAGCTGGGATACAGAGCACCATGTCCTGAGGCTGCACAGAGTAGTGGGGCCCCAGGCCTGGCCCATGAAACCGTTTTTCCCTCCTAGGCCTCAAGATCTGTGATGGTAGGGGCTGTTGAACTGTCTCTGAAATGCCCTGGAGGCATTTTCCCCATTGTCTTAGCTATTACCATTTGGATCCTCGTTACTCATGCAAATTTCTGCAGCAGGCTTGAATTTCTCCCCAGAAAATCAGTTTTGCTGTTTTACTGCATGGTCAGCCTCAAATTTTCCAAAATTTTATGCTCCACTTCCTTTTTAAATATAAGTTCCAGTTTCAGGTCATTTCTCTGTTTATGTAAATTACCTTAGGCTTTTAGAAGCAGCCAGATCACTTCCTGAACACTTTGCTGCTTAGAAATTTCTTCTGCCAGATACCCTAAATCATCAGTCTCAAATTCAAAGTTCCACAGATCTCTAGAGCAGGGGCAAAATGCCACCAGTCTCTTTGCTAAAGCATAACAAGAGTCACATTTACTTTAGTTCCCAACAAGTTCGTCTTCTCCATCTGAGACCACCTCAGCCTGTACTTCATTGTCCATATCACTATCAGCATTTTGGTCACAACAATTCAACAAGTCTCTAGGAAGTTCTCAACTTTCCCTCATCTTCCTTTCTCCTTCCGAACCCTCCAAACTGTTTCAGCCTCGAACTGTTACCGAGTTCCAAAGTTGCTTCCACATTTTCAGTTATCTTTACAGCAATGCCACACTTCTCTGATACCAACTTTCTATATTAGTCCATTCTCACACTACTATAAATAACTACCTGAAACTGGGTACTTTATGAAGAAAAGAGCTTTAATTGGCTCATGGTTCTGCAGGCTGTACAGGAAGCATGGCTGGGGAGGCCTCAGGAAACTTACAATTATGGTGGAAGGGGAAGGGGAAGCTGGCATGTCCTACATGGCTGGATCAGGAGGGAGAGATAGTGAAAGGAGATGTGCTACGCACTTCTATCCAACCATATTTTATGAGAACCCACTCACTATCACAAAAACAACAAGGGGAAAATGTGCCCCCATGATCTAATCACCTCCTACCAGGTCTTTTCCCCAACAATGGGAATTGCAATTCAACGTGAGATTTGGGTGAGAACACAGAGCCAAACCATATCAGTCTGTTAGGGGTGCTATAAGAAAATATGATAAACTGTATGGCTTATAAACAACAAACATCGATTTCTCATAGGTTTGGAGGCTGGAAAGTCAAAGATAAAAGTCCTGGCAATTCTGTGCCCAGTGAGGGCTCACTTTCTCATAGACAACACCTGCCTTATAGATAACTCTGCCCTCACAATCTAGTCATGTCTCCAAAGCCCCAACTCCTAATACCATCACCTTGGGAGTTAGGATATTCAGATGTAAATTTGGGGGTTTGTAAGCATTCAGTTTATTGCAGTAGGCCATTCCTGGTACCCCAGTCTAGAGCAGACCCCTTTAGAGGATATTCTTACAGCACTCTCTACTTCATCCACGTGAATCATCACTATTTGTAATTAAATATGTTTTTTAAATTTAGTTTTCAATTGACAAATAACATCTTATATACTATGATATACAGCATGATGTTTTGATATATGTATGCAGTGTGAGATGGCTAAATCAAGCTAATTAATGTATTATTACCTCACATACTTATTATTTTTTTCATGCTGAGAGTACTTAATGCCCACTCTTCTCATAGCAATTTTCATATATAAGATACATTTTTATTAACTGTACTCACCACAAAATTTTAGACAGAAAGATAAAGCTCTAACTGAAATTAGAAGGATAAGTTCTTGAGTTTATCCTTCTGTCTAACTGAAATTTTGTGTCCTTTGACCAATATCTTCCTAATCCACCTACCCTCAAGCTCTGTTAACAAGCACTTTACTCTCTGTTTCTATGAGTTTGACTTTTTTATAATCTACATATAAGTGAAATCATTTGATATTTTCCCTTCTGTCCTGGATTATTTTACTTAACGTAATGTGCTTCAGGTTCAACCACACAGGTGCAAATGACAGAATTTCCTTCCTTTTAAAGGCAGAAAAAATATTCTAGTATGTATATATACCACAGTTTTTTATCCATTCACGTGTTGATGGAAACTTAGGTTGATTTAGTATCTTGGCAATTCTGAATAATGCTGCAAAAACAAGGGATTGCAGGTATCTTTCAACATACTGATTTAATATCATGTGAATATTTACTTAGTAGTGAAATTACTGGATCATATGGTAGTTCTATTTTTATTTATTCGAGGAACCTTTACAGTTTTTTTATTATGGCTCTACTAATTTACATTTTCACCAACAATGTTCAAGGGTTACTATCTGTCCGCATCCACGCCACCACTTGTTATCTTTTGTCTTTTTGATCATAGCCATTCTAACGGTTATAATATCTCGTTGTGGTTTTGTTTGCATTTCTCTGATGACTAATGATGTTAAGCATGTTTTTATACACTTTTTTGCTATTTGTATGTCTTCTTTGAGGTCTTTGGCCTATTTTTAATTGGGCTATTTTTGTTTTGGCTGGGTTGAATTTCTTATATATTGTGAATATTAACCTTTTATCAGATTATGGTTTGCAAACATATTCTCCCATTCTGTAGGTTGTCTCCTTACTCTGCTTATTGTTTCTCTAGCTACATAGAAGGTTTTTGGTTTAATGTAATCCCATTTGTATATTTTTGCTTTAGTTGCCTGTGCTTTTGGCATCATCTTGAAAACAATCTTTACCCAGAATAATGTCATGAAGTTTTTCTCCTATGTTTTTGGCTAGTAGTTTTAAAGTTTGTGGTAATTAGATTTAAGTCCTTAATCAATTTTGAGTTGATTATTGTATATAGAGATGTGGGTCTAATATAATTCTTAAGTGTGTGGATATCTAGTTTTCTCACCAACATTTATTGAAGGAACTGTTCTTTCTTTTCTTATTGCCTTATTCAAAAATCAATTGACCATATATACATGGATATTTCTTCTAATTTCTATATTTTGTCCCATTAGTCTGTGTGTCTGTTTTATGCAGGTACCATGATGTTTTGATTGGCATAGTTTTGTTGTATATTTTGAAGTCAGGTAGTGTGATGCCTCCAGCTTTGTTCTTTTTGCTCAAGGTTGCTTTGGCTATTCCGGATATTTTGGGGTTCCATACAAATTTTAGGATTGTCTTTTCTATTTCTGTTAAAAATGAGATTGGAATTTTGATATTGATTGAATCTGTAGATCACTTTGGGTAGTATTAACATTTTAACACTATTAATAATTCTAATCCATGAACACTGGATATCTATCCATTTATTCATGTCTTCTTCAATTTCTTTTATCAACATTTTGTAGTTTTCAGTGTTCAGATCTTTTTCCCCTTTGGTCAAATTTATTCCTGGGTTTAAAATTTTTTTGTATCTATTGAAATTAGATAAAATTTTTTTTGAATAGTTTGTTGTTAGTGCATAGAAATAGTACTGATTTTGTATGTTGATTTCATGTTCTTCAACTTTACTGAATTCATTTGTTTGTCCTAACAATTTTTGTTAGAACATGGCTCTGGGGTTAGGGATGGAAGAGGTGGAGGATCCTTTCCCAAGGCTGATCAAGAGAAACTGCTTCTTGGGTGGGGAGGGCTGTGTAGCTGTTTCTCCTTATATGGGGTTCTCCAGTGGGAATGGATATTGCTTACCTCAGTGGCAGGAGATGCATGTGTTCTCTGCAGAGAAGGCCAATGGTGACCAACATGATTCTTGTCACTTGGCTGATATTGATAGTTTCTGCCTTTCTTTGCTCCTAGCAGTCATCTGGTGCCTCAGATATGCTGATCTCACTAGCAATCCTTTCTATGTGGATAATCTCTGGGTTTTATTTTGCTCCACTGTGTTGCTCCAGATTCTTTAATGGGCCCTCAAGTCCTCTCTGAGCTATTTTGGCTTTTGAAAGCTGTCTATATATGTTTTTCTTTGTGTGTGGGGGGAGCAAAGAGGGCCAGTAGTTACACTGCACCATTGTGGTGACATCACCCTATGTATGTATTTTTTAAATAACTTGTTAATGCATATTTCCCTAGCTAGACTAAAGACCACATGAGGGAAAGACCTTTATATTTATCAGAATAAAGCATCCTACTTGATGCATAATTGTAGGTGCTCAATAAATACTTATTGAATAAATGAGTTGATGAAGGGATACATAGAAGTATGGATAGGTCATGTTATTGTTAGTTTAGTTCAACTATAAAATGAATGACCTTCTAGAAGATGTCTTCCAATCTCAATAATTTCTTCCTGCTTGAAATTGGTTTTTCTTTTGGCTCCAGCCAAACTTCCCTCTCTTATTTCCTTTCCCATCTGACATCTTCTATCTAATCTCCTTCACAGTCCTCTATTTCTCTGCTCATCTCCTAGCTATTTAGCATCCCAGAGTTCTGTTGTTAGGTCACTGCTCTTTTGTTCATGTACTCTCCTGAGATGATCTCCTCCAAACCAATCACTCCTTTGTTAATAGCTCTGATGATTCCAGATATCTAACCAAATCCTTGCCCTCAAATTTCAGATAATGTGAACTGCTGGCATCTTCATTTTGAGTTTCAAATCCATCATAACTAGAGCCAAACTTATATTTTCCTGCAAACCTGCTTCTGTTCCTATGTTTTCTATCTGCATTCTTATGTGTGGAAGTGTGTTGCCCCCGTGTGCAAATATCTATCATAGCACTTCAGCACATTTCAATGAAATTCTGCCTTTTTATATAAGCAGTTAACAACTTTTAGACAGGAGCCATGTCTGATTTATCTGGAGCACAAAGATAAATCAGCCATAGGGCTGGCGCGGTGGCTCACCGCTATAATCCCAGCACTTTGGGAGGCTGAGGAGGACGGAGCACCTGAGGTCAGGAGTTCGAGACCAGCCTGGACAACATGGTGAAAACCCATCTCTACTAAAAATACAAAAATTAGCCGGGCGTGGTGGCAGATGCCTGTAATGCCAGCTACTCAGGAGGCTAAGGCAGGAGAATCACTTGAATCCGGGTGCAATGAGCCGAGATTGCACCGTTGCACTCCAGCCTGGGCAACAGAGCAAGACTCCATCTCAAATAAATAAATAAATAATAAATCAGACATGATTCCTGTCTAAAAGTTGTCAACTGCTTATATAGACTTAGCACACTATATGGCATAGAGTTGGTGTTCAGGTACATTGCTGACGTGAGTTCATGTCTGAATGTCACAATTACCTTTGCAGATTCCTTAACTTGACCTCTCATAATTATATTTGATATATCTTTGCTGCAGGATTGTGGCGTTCAGTCAACCACTAAATTTCATGGATTCTACCTCTAAAATATCTCATAGTCTCCCTTCTTTCCAGTTTTTCTGCCCTTATCTAGAATCCTTCACAAAACTATTGTAATAACTTCTTAACCTTTACAATTACATATATATTTTTCTTACCAATATCTCCTATAAAATGTTCTCTTCCTTCTTTCCTATCTGACAGATATTCAATGAGTGATTACTATTTCCCAGACAGCTTTTAGTCACTGGAGATATAACAGTTAACAGGACAGAACAACTTCTCAAGGAGCTTTCTTTTGATTGGAGGAGACCTAAAATTAAGCAACAGCCAAATATATTATATATTTTAAAACAGTGTTAAGTGCTAGGAAGAAAAAATAAAGCGGGTGAACAAGTGGTTCCTTGGTGTGTTAGTGAGGGAAATATTTAGATTGGTTAGTCAGTTAAGGTATATCTGAAGAGGTAACATTTTAATAAAGTAAAAGAGTAAATCATATGAATATTCCTGGGAAAAATATACAGGACAGAAGGAATTGGAACTGTAAATCCCCTTAGATGTGAGCCTACTTGGTGTAATCCACGTGGCTGACATGAAGTGAATAAAAGGTAGTCAGGAACCAGAGGCAAGGTGCTTAGAGACAGTAGTATAGATATGGAATTTTATTCTAAGCACGTATAAAGTTATTATAGTGTTGATAGCAGTGGAGTGCCATAGTCTGATTTAAGCATTAAAGGGTGGCTGTGTGGTTTACAGAATGTTGGAGTCTATATCAATAAGTGATTGATACAATAATACTGAGAAACAACCCACTCCAAAACTCAGGAGCATATGGAATTTAGCATTGTGTCTTCCTTAAGCATGTGAATTGGCTGTGGGTTGAACCCAAGTATACTCCATGTCTGTCATCTTCTTTGAACTAGCAGCTATTCAAAGCATAGTCCTATCATGGAAATAGCAGAAGCACAAGAGGACAATACCAAACACACTCATTTCAGGCCCTCCTTCTGTCACATTTCCTAATATTCCATTGGCCAATGAGTCAGAAAATGCATGCTTTTCATGGAGGTGAAGGAGATGGAAGTGAAAATATTTCATACAAAACATCTAGTCTAGTCTAGTCTAGTCTATGCTAGATGAGAGATTGGAAACCGAGAAACCTGTCAGACTATTACTGTAGTCCATTTGAGAGATGATGATCATTCAGAAAATGAGGTGGTGAGAAATGGATAGACTTAGAATATTTAAAGTTAGCGTTTACATGGATGAAGGATGGATTTAATATGGGAGATAAGAATATCACACAACACTCAGGTTTTTCATACGAGTAATTAGGTGCCTAGAGTTGTCATTTAGCAAATTAGTAAAGACCGAGGGAAGAACAAGTTCTTGATTTTTGGACATGTTATTTAAGGAAACTTATTAGACACCCAAGTGGAGATGCTTATGGGGAAGTTGGTTAGATGATTCTGGAAGTTATGAAAAAGGATAGTACTGGAGATACACATTTAGGAGTCATAAACATCTGGATGAAATTTAAAGCTCTAAGTCTGGATAAAATGATTCCCAAATAAACTTTCAAACACAACTATGACCATGCATGCTGGTCCTTGACATTTCCAGTCTTGTCTTTACTACTCTGTTTCTGATATGTTCACACTCTAAGTGACACTAACTTCACATTCTCAAAATGTGCATGAACTTTCATATCTCAACTTTATTCATGTGATTCTTTCAACTTGGAATGCTCTTTTTCTCGATCTTTTCCAATTGAAATTCCCTTTTTCCAAGACCAGACTCATGTGACATGTTCTCTATAACATTCACCAGTATCTATATCTGGAGTTGATATTTTGATGTTTGCTGTCCCCATAGTTCTTTGGTAATATGTCAGCTATATGACTTCTTATATACAGCTTTCTATTAGAGCCCAGTTGATTCAATTTCTCCAAGTATTTCTCTATGGCCCTGTCACATTTCGAGTTGATTCAATTTCCCCAAATATTTTTCTATGGCCCTGCCACATTTTGAGTTAAAAAAAAATTAAGGATCTTCGTAATAGTTTGAAAAGCACTTGTCCAGGCCATTGCCCCCATTTTATAGATTTCAGTTTAGCCCTATGTATTGTACTTTACAAGCTCAAACATGTACTGGCAATCATTCCCATTTGTCCATGTATCACCTATTAGAATGTCACTTCTTTGAAGGCAGGAATCTGCTCTAAATTAGATTTTCTCCCACTCCTTCTGCAAATTGCTGCTGTTGCATATCATATTTGTTGAATTTAAATTTGTATTATTATCATAGACTGTACGGGAAGATTCATTAAGTGATGTTGGTAGAAGAGCCTTAATAGCGACAGAGTAGATAATTACTGCAATGTAAGTTTTTTATTGGAAGAATACTTGTTGTACATTGGCGTATTATGGAAATTCAATGCACTGTGGATCAAAACCAACTGTAAAACCAGTATGTTTTCTTACACTTTATTTTCCCACATATTTTAGTTTTCCTATACATTCAATACTCAGAATTCTTGGTTATAGATGAGGAATTCTTCACTAAGATTTATCTTAAGAATACTATAAAAACAATGAAAATTATAAATAATCTGCCATTTCTCTGAATCAAATAAGTGTCTCACTGTGCAGGTAGTGACATGGAAAGCAAACTGCTGGGCCTCGCCACAGTTCCAGGAATTACCTTTACATTGAGGTGGGGGGTATTGAGCCATCTGCTCCAGGTTAGCAGTGTGGAAAGGGGATATACTGAATAGATTAGAAAGCCATTTAGAAGAAGTGAACAATTGTTTGACAATAACCATTTTTTAGGTTTTGTTTGTTTTTTATCTTTATAAAATTTACTGTTTACTATTATGTAAGAAATGCATGTTCGTTTGTAGATGCAACAAAATACAGAAAAATATAAAGAAGGAAACAAACCGTCATGGTAATTTGTAATCTCATTGCCCAAAGATAATAACAATTTGAATTTTGGTGTACCTCCTTCTAGTGTTTTTGTCTATGTGTATGTATATATGTGCAGTGCAAAAATGTATATGTGTGTTTGTGTTATATTTAAAGGTTACTAAAAATGGTTGAACACATTACAAAATTCACTATACCATGCCACTTCTACTTGTGGATATATGTTAAAAACCTTATGTATGTGGCACCTTTTTTTCATAGCCCTAAGGAAATGAAGGAACAAAAATCCTGGCTGTCACTGGTAGTGGTGATATTCTGTGGTGAATAGACCACAGAATCGATGAGTGCCGTGTGACAGGAGGGGCACATATGAAACATTTGTAAGAGGAGAGAAATAACAGAGTTTCTTTACAAATAGGTTTTGATTACATGTTCACATGTAACTTAACTACTGAATAATTATTTTTTTGTAAATATCCATTTATTTTTGAATAACTGTATTTTCAAAGTTAAGATCTGTCATATGTACAGTTTATAGCTTGATCTTTTCCTTTTTTAAACTTTTACTTTAGCTTCAGGGGTGTATGTGCAGGTTTGTTATGTAGGTAAAATCATGTCACAGGGGTTTGTTGTACAGACTATTTCATCACCCAGGTAATAAGCCAAGTACCAATAGCTATTTTTCCTGAACAAATTCTTGGAAGATAAATTTTTAAACGTATTTTTGAAAGAAATAGTACTCTCCTAGATGAAAAATTGCTATATTTTAAATATAATGTAGAGTTGCTTCCAAATAATTTTTATTGGTTTCTTGATCATTTAAGTACCCATGGGTGGATTGTATCCAAATGTAGCATTGACCTTAGGCTGATGTTTACTTCTACCTAGTACTTTTACAAGGAAGAGGAGACAGCATTGCACTGAAAGGCAAGAGAACTAGCTTCTTGCCTTGGCATTTGCTGTGAACCATTATATGATGTTGAACACATTATTTCACTTAATATTTTCATTTATATATTCAGTCATTTATAAAGTACCTCTTAGTAATAACAATATTGTATAAATGTTATTGAATACAATCTTTTTGTTGTAAAAAGAGCATATTCTAATTAGCATAGGCAAAACAGGGGAATTATTACAAGTATACTAGATGTCTCCTGGAGCTGAAGGTCAATATTGCAACCGAGTCTCAGCAGTGATCTGGAACTTGGGGCTGGTACAGCTTGGGTAGATTTTTTCCTCCGTGACATTCTGCATGTCTGTATCATTCAGTCAAAATGAAATTGGAATTCTATTCCCAGCTTTAAATTATTTAGGAAACAAACATTCACACAAATGGTGTCAGAAGCCCATCTTTATCTGGTTCAGTCAACTGTGGTCTATGAGTAGGGTTGGAGTAAGAGTGTCATGTTATATGAGCATGTGTTCCAGGAGCCCTATAACTGTAACCATGTGTGTGAGAGGTGTGTAAGGGTGATTGGATCAGTACTAAGATTCAGTTCCCAGGAAAGAGAGTTTGAGAAATTTGAGAAGTTGTGGTATGCAGAATAATTTTTCCCCCAAAAATGTCTATGATGTAATCCCTAGAAGTTTTGAATATATTATATTACATGGCAAGGGAGAATTAAGGTGGTATAGAGAAATAAGGTTTCTAATCAACTGACCTTGAGATAAGGACGTTATCCTAGATTATCTGGGCAGGCCCAATGTAATGCGAAGGGTCTTTATAGGATAGAGGCAGAAGGTCAGAGTCAGAGAGAGACTTGAGAATAATATGCTACTGGCTTTGAAGGTAAAAATGGCCGCAAGCTAAGGAATGCAGATGGCCTCTAGAAGGTGGAAAAGGTGAGAAAATGGATTTCCCTCTAGATCCTCCAGAAAGAATATCACCCCGTTAATACCTTTATCTCAGTCCAGTGAGACTCATTTTGTACTCCTGCCGTCTAGACTGTAAGAGAATACATTTGTGTTGTTTTAAGCTACTACACTCCAGTTAATTTGTTAGAGCAGCAATAGGAAATTAATATAGAGGTTAATTCAATAGTATTCCTGTATATTTACAGATGGCACCTTTACTCAAAGCAAAATGTGTAATCATAAACTATTCTAAATACAGGGGAAAATGAATTTGTTATAAAAATTATAAAACACTGATCTCTCATAATTATAATTTCTTCACTTATTTTTATAAATAATTATTAAATTGTTGAGCCTACAATGTGCTAGCCATTAGAGGAAACAACCATAAATGAGAGATGTGAACTAGGCACCAAAGAGATTAGCACTAAACCACTGGTGTCATTATATAGAGTCTGTAGTTCATCCCAGATGCACAAGAAATATTCTTTATACATATTCATATTCAGTGAGATAAAGCTTATGTTTTACCCAAATAAGTGCAAAGTCCCCAAAATTAACTTCCAATCATTTTTCTATACATTGAAACATTTGTCTTTTGTTCATGATTGTAATATAGAATTCAGCTTATTCTGAATCCTTTAGGCTGTATCCCACCATGGTACTAAAATCTCCACCCTCAACTGCTCTGGTAATTAAAATAGCATTAACTGTTTTAGATAACTTAGAATTATATTAAACATATAATTTCTGAAGCCCTTTTCCAGTGTGTATAAGTTCCCACCTAAATGTGTATCCATTTGTAGCACTGTATTACAACAGAATTTGTTTTTTTCGGAGAGATACTTTGTTTCTGAACAACAGAATTCTAAAAGACAGGTATTATACAAGGCGCAAATAGATTTTGGGATTTTTTAAATCTCGAGATAATTAGTTGCCTTTGATTAAGAGAAGTTTATGTTTGTGTACATCAGTCAATCAGTCCATGAAATCTATTTATTTCCTACTGCAAAATTTTTTTCAGCAAACAGTATCTATGAAAACATGAAAGTTTCCATGTAGCTGAAAATCATCACCCCATCGATTCTTGCCCCTTTCACCATTAGATTTTATTTTTTGCCATGAGAACTCTCTGTTAAATATGTCTTTTAGAGAGAGGTTGTGCAGTGCACCTCTAGACAGGATTTTATCCTGGCACCAGATTCACAAAGGCCTCCCCTTAACTTCTGGGCTGTTGATGGGGTCTTATGCATTTAGGCTCACCTCCGTCTCAGAGCTCCTCCCTGCACATTGCCTTTTCCATTCTGTGTAACACTGATAAAGTAATGCACCCCAGCCTCTTCGTCAGTTGCCACATATGCATATACACACCAACCATACTCATACAAAATATGTGCTGGTATGTTAAAGTTCACAAATTTGACTGGAGTGGAAGGGCACAGAGGAGTGGTGTACCTTTCAGCAACAGAAAAAAAAGTCAAATTCAACATTTTGGCATGCCTGATTGTATTAGTTTTTTATCGTTGCTATAGCAAACTGACACAAGCTTAGTGGTTCAAAACAAAACAGATTTTTTACAGCCCTTGAGGTCAGAAAGAAATCTCACTAACATCAAAGTGTCAGCACGTCTGGTTTCTTCTGGAGGCTGCAGAGAAGAATGTGTTTACTTGCCTTTGTCAGCTTCTAGAGATGGGATCATGGATCATTTCTCTATATTCAGAGAATCGCTCAGACTTCTGCTTCCATTATTCCATCTGCTTTTTCTTGCTTTGATCTTCTGGCTTCTCTCCTATTAGGATCCTTGCTATTACATTGGGCTCACCATATAATTAAAGATAATCTCCATGCTCAAGATCCTCGATTTAATCACATCTGAAAGGTCTCTTTTGCCATGTACTGGGCATTAGGTTGTGTGCATCGTGGGTGGAGATCATTTAATCTACCAAGAACAGAGATAACAACATATAAAAACTTTCTTTTCCTTCCTACCATCAGGGAAATTTTACTGCAATTTACATAGTGCCTCAGTCTCATACATCTTAATAGCTCCTCTATTCTCTCCTCCCCCCCCACCCCTCTGTCAGTTTTTCTCTTCACCATGTTTCTCCTAGATTTCTCCAGGTAACTTCAAACTTGTCCTACTTCTTATATATAGCCATTCAACTCTGTTTTACTATTACAAGCTAACTCTAATTCAGGTCTACCTTCGTCCATCTGAAATTATCAAAGTTTAAGCAGAAAGGCAGAGTTTTTCATTTAACTGGAACCATTATCTCTAATGAATGAATGTAGAAGGAAAAAAATACCCTTATATTATGTACAGCTTTGGCCCTAAGACCTAGAGAACTCCTCCCTATTATAGTCAACTGAGCTGGATATTATTTGAATTGTGAAAAGTTGCCTTTTCTTTTGTCTCAGACTATTTCTTGGTCTCTTACCCTTGGGCTTAGCCAAAGTGGGTATTTTTTTCTAAGGTCTGGGCGAGAGACTGCCAAAGTCAACCATCCTGTGTAGCTCATGTCTTTTAGAACTTTTAGAGCTTTGAGAATTCATCTCCTATTACAACGTCTTTCCAGAGTAGGAACAGAAGGCTTCTCACCTAGAGGCTACTGCAACATTATTTTACGACATTGAACAGATAGGAAGGACGGACCAGAGAAATAACAAAAAGGGAGTTGTTATTTCAGTGGTGTTCCCCAAATTGCACATGTTGAAGTCCTAACCCCTCGTATCTGAGAATGTTATCTTATTTGGGAGGAAGATCTTTGGAGATGTAATCGGATTAAGACAAGGCCATTATGATGAGTACTACATATAATAAGACTGATGTATAAAAGGGGAAGATGGCCGTGTGAAGATTTAGATAACAGAGGAAGAGATTGGAGGGACATTATACAAGCTAAAATATGCCAAGGATTGATGGCCACTACCACCAGAAGCCAAGAGGCAAGGAAGGATTCTACCATACAGGTTTCAGAGGGATCGTGGCCTTGACAATACCTTAATTTTGGATTTCTAGCTTTTGGAACTGTAAGACAGTAAATGTTGTGCTAAGCAACCCAATTCATGCATGGTACCTGCTATAGAAGTCCTAGGAAACAAATACAGGAGCCAAACACAGAAAACTGAGCTTTTGATTTCATAGCAACTTCAAACTCTAAGTGTGTGGGCTGTACCTACCTATGTCTTACTCCTTGCAATGGAAGAAAACTTGAACTCCTCAAAATGTTAGATCTGTCACTTATTCTTCACATTTTGTTGTTTATTTTATGTTATCTCTATGGCCAAACAGATCTATAGTCAATCTGGTACATGGTTGATCATTCAAGGAGGACATTTTTAGATAATCAGAAAAGTCCTACTTGCCTCTGGGTGAAAGTCATATCCCAGAGACAAAGGCCGAATATAAGACTGGGATTTAATTATAAGAATATAAATAATCTCACCACACCCACCCTACTGGCACACAAACAGGACTTTAATATAATAACAGTGGATTACAAATTAAAGAGCTACAAGATGCAGACTTTCTAAGAAGAAATAGACAGGAAGTACCAAAGTGAAGAAGGGAGACATAAACAACAATATTAGAGTTATATGAAGCCTCTGGAACCTCCAGCTACAAAAAACCTTAAGCACAGCTTACTTCCTAGACAGCTTAAACTAAATTCTCACTAGAGTCCTATTTATCTTAGTTCCTATAACCCAATATATGTCTGATTTTTAACACAAAATTACAATACATGCCAAAACACAATAAAAAGACAGCATGAAGAGACAAATATCAGAGCCAGACTTAACATATGACACAGTTGTTGAAGTTATAAGATGAGAAATTTAAGCTAACGATAATTAATAATGTAAAATCTTTAATACAAGAAGTAAGCAACATGCAAGCTACAAAAATGTTAGATTTTAAACCAACTATATCAGTAATCACTTTAAATGTGAATGATATAAAAGCAGCAATTAAGGAAGAATATGGTCAGAATGAATTTTTTTAAAAAAAGACCCACTTCTATCTCAGGTACATGAAACTCAATTTAAATGTAAAGACTCAGATAGATTAAAAGTAAAGAAATTGAGAAAGACATGCCACATTAATTCATGATGAGAAGAAAACTGGAATTACTACATAAATTTCAAACAATGAAGAAATAAAGAATATTGTTAGGTTTATTCAGCAATGAAAGAGTCAATTCTCCAAGAAGACATCCCAATCCAAAATCTGTATGTCCCTAGAAACAAACTGTCAAAAAACATGAGGCAAAAAGTTATAAAAAAGTAGAAATAGTGAAACCAGGTATTATACTTGGAGACTATGATAGGTATAGAGATACTCCTCTCCATAACTGATAGATAAAGCAGGGAGAAAATCAGTAAGATTACAGATGATCTGATCAGCACCACCAATCAGCTGGATCTAATTAACTTTTATAGACTATCCATATAAGAACACCAGAAAGTATATTCTTCTGAAGCTCTCATGGAACATTCACCCAAAAGGACCACATTCTGTGCCATAAAGCACAAATGTAAAAGAATAGAAATCATACAAAGCATGTCTAAGACCACAATGAGTTTAACTACAAATCAGTAACAGAAAGACAAATGAAAGACCAAAAGATTCCCTTCCTTCCTCCCTCTCTCTCCTTCCCCTCCCTCCCTCCCTCCCTCCCTCCCTCCCTCCCTCCCTCCTTCCTTCCTTCCTTCCTTCCTTGCTCTTTCTTTCAAGACAGAAAGGAATTTTAATAGGTAATAATTAGGTAAACTATTGAGATATTTTTGTTTTATTGTGGTAAAAAAAACACATAACATGATATTTACCTCCTTAAATTTGTGAGTGCACAGTACAGAATTGTTAACTATAAGTACAGTGTTGTACAATGGATCTCTAGAATTTTTTCATTTTTCATGACTGAAATTCTATACTTATCACGTAGTAACTCCCATTTCCCCCTCTCCTTCACCTCTTGCAACTACCATTCTACTTTCTATTTCTATGAGTTTGACTACTTTACATACCTCATATAAGTGGAGTCATGCAGTATTTATCCTTCTATGACTGGCTTATTTCACTTAGATTAGTATCCTAATTAATCTAAGGGGCTAATTCCATAGCCCCTTAGCCCCATAGTCCATAGCCCCATTGATTTAAGGGACTAAGTCCATAGCCCTTTCTCCCATGTTCTAGCATATGACAGAATTCCATTCCATTTTTTAAGGCTGAATAATATTCCATTGTTTGTATATATTACATTTTATTTACATAGTCATTCGCTGATGAATATTTAGATTGTTCCCACCTCTTGGCTATTGTGAATAATGTGGCCATAAACATAAGAGTGCAAATAACTTCTTGAAATGCTGATTTCAATTCTTTTGGATAAATATCCCAAAATAGTATTGCTGGATCATTTTGCAGTCTTATTTTTAATTTTTTGAGGAAACTTCATACTGTTTTTCATAATGGCTGCAGCAATTTACATTCCCACCAACAGTGTACTAGGGTCCCCTTTCTCCATACCCTCACCAACCTTTGTTATCTCTTATTTGTTTGATAATAGTCATCCTACCAGGTGGAAGGAGATATCTCATTGTGGTTTTAATTTGCATTTTTCTGATAATTAATGATGTTGAACACATTTCCACATACTTGGCCATTTGTGTGTCTTCTTTGGAGCAATGTCTATTCAAGTCCATAGCCCATTCATTAATCAGGTTATGTGTGTGTGTGTGTGTGTGTGTGTGTGTGTGTGTGTGCGCGCGCGCGCGCGCATGCTTTTGTGTTGTAGCAGTTCATTTTGTTTTGGATATTAATCCATTATCAGACGTAGGATTTGTAAAGATTTCTTCTTACATTCAGTAGGCTGACTTTTCAATCTGTTGATTGTTTTCTTAGCTGTTCAGAAGCTTTTTAGTTTGATGTAGTCCTACTTGTCTAATTTTGCTTTTGTTTCCTGTGCTTTTGGGGTCACATCCAAAAAATCATTGTCAAGACCAATGTCAAAGAGTTTTTCCCCATGTTTCTTCTAGGAGTTTTATAGTTTCAAGTCTTATATCTAAGACTTTAATCTACATTGAGTCTATTTTTGTGGCTAATGTAAGATAAGGGTCCAATTCCAATTTTCTGTATGTGGATATTCAGTTTCCACAACATCAATTGTTTAAGAGACTATTTCTTTTCCCATTGTGTAGTCATGGCAACCTTGTTGAAGACCATTTGATCATATCCACATGAGCTTATTTCTGGGCACTCTATTTGGTTACATTTGTCTATGTCTTCTCTTATGCCACTCCCATACTATTGTAATTATTGTAGCAAAGTAGTATATTTTCAAATCAGAAAGGGTTGTGTCTTCAGCTTTGTTATTCTCTCTCAAGATTGTTTTTGACATGTGTGGTACTTTAAGACTCCGTATAAATTTTAAGATTGCTTTTCACTTTTTGTGTGTGAAAAATGCTATTGAGATTTTGATATATTTTGAATTGAATCTGTAGATTGCTTTGAGTAGTATGGGCATTTTAACAATATTAAATCTTCCAATCCATGACCCAGGTATGACTTTCAATTTATCTGGGTCTTCTTTAATTTCTTCCAACAATGTTTTGTACCATTCAGCGTACAGGTCTTTGGCCTCCTTTATTAGGTTTATTCCCAAATATTTTATTCTTTGTGATAATATTGAAAATTGGGTTTCTTTCTTAATTTCCTTTTTGGATTATTTGTTGTTAGTGCATAGACACACAATTAATTTTTAATGTTGATTTTGTATCTTGCATCTTTACTGAATTGGCTTATTAGTTATAGCAGTTTTTGGTGAAATATTTAGCATTTTCTACATACAAGATTATATCATCTGCAAAGAGAGATCATTTTAACTTCTATTCTGATTTGGATATCTTTTATGTATTCCTCTTGTCTAACTGCTCTGGCAGGCACTTCTCATGCTATGTTCAGTAGAATTGCCAAGAGTGAGTATCCTTATCTTGTTTCTGACCTTAGGGAAAACACTTTCAGGTTTTCAACATTTAGTATGATGTTAGTTGCAAGCTTTTCATATATGCCCTTTATTATGTTGAAGTAATTTTCTTTTATTCCTAGCTTGTTGCATGATTTTATCATAAAAGGATGTCAAATTCATCAAATGCTTTTTCTGAATCTATTGACATGATCATGTGATTTTTATACTTTGTTCTTTTAAGGTGGTATAAAACATTGTTTGATTTTTATATGTTGACCATACTTACATACTAAGGATAAATCCCACTTGGTCATGATGCTTTATCTTTTAAATGTGCTGTTGAATTTGTTTAGCTAGTATATTGTTGTTGAAGATTTTTGCATCTATATTCATCAGGGATATTCTCCTAAAGTTTTCTTTTTTTAAATTGGCTTCGCCTGTCTTCAATATCAGGGTAACGCTGGCCCCATAAAATGACTTTCGAAGTGTTTTTTTCCTCTTCAATCTTTTGGAAGAGTTTGAGAAGAACTGGCATTAATTCTTCTTAAGTATTTGGTAGAATTCACCAGTGAAGCCATCTTATCCTGTGCTTTTCTTTTTGGGGAGGCATTAGATTACTTAAACAATCAGCTTACTAGTTATAAGTCTGTTCAGACTTACTATTTCTTCATGATTCAGTCCAGAAAGGCTGTATGTTTTTACGAATTTAGCAGTTTCTTAGTGGTTATCCAATTTGTTGATGTATAATTGTTCATAATAGACTCAGAATACAGTTGGCCTTCCATATCTGTTGGTCCACATATGCAGATTCAACTTACTCTAGATAGAAAAATATTCACAAAAAATAAACAATATGACAATAAAAATAATACAAATGTTTAAAACACAATGCAGAATAGCAATCATTTACATAGGATTTACATTGTATAAGAAATCTTTGTATTGTATAAGAAATCTAGAGATAATTTAAAGTATACACAAGGATGTGCATAGTTTATATCTAAATACTGTAAATACTGTGCCATTTTATATGAGGAAGTTGAAAACCCACAGATTTTGGTATGTATAGGGATCCTGAGACACTTCCCTGTGGAAACCAGAGGAAGATTATACTTTTAATTTTTGTAGCACTGGTTGTAAGGTCCTTTTTTAATTTTTAATTTTATTTTTTGAAACTTCTTTTTTTCTTAATCTAGCGAAACGTTTGTCAATTTTGTTGATGTTTAAAAAAAACCTCTTTGTTTTATTGATATTTTCTATGTTTTTGTTTCCTATTTCATTTATTTCTGCAGATTTACCATGTCCGTATCAGATTGAAAATGTAGAGAGCTCCCATTTACTCTTATCAACTGCCTCCCCAACTGCCTCCCTGCTCCTGTCCTGCCAATCATTTACAGGAGGTAGTTATTGTTATGAATTAACTTGTGTATGGCTTTATTTCTGGGCTCTCTATTCTGTTACGGTTGTATGTGTGACTGTTTTTGTATCAGTATCAGTAACTTGTTTCCTCCTAGAATTCATATGTTGACGTTATAATTTCTAGTACCTCAGCATGTGACTTTATTTGGAAAGAAGATCTTTGTAGGTTTATAATTAGTCATAATTATATATGATGAGGTCATATGAGAGTAGATTAGGCCCCTAATCCTATATTTCTGATGTCCTTATAAAAAGGAGAAATTTGAATGCAGACGTGAACAGGAAGAATGCCCTGTGATGATAAAGGCAGAGAAGGGGGTGATGTGTCTACTAGTCAAGGACTATGAAAGATTGCTAGCAAGACCTCAGAAGTTAGGAGAGAGGCTTACAGCAGATCATTCATTCTCTCTCAGCCCTCAGAAAAATTCAACACTGCTGACAAATTAATGGTGAAATTCTACACTGCAGAACTATGAGAAAATACATTTCTGTTATTTAATTTGTGATTATTTTGTTATGGCAGCCTGTATTAGTCCATTTTCACGCTTCTATAAAGAACTGCCGAAGACTGGGTAATTGATAAAGAAAAGAGCTTTAATTGACTCACAGTTCTGCATGGCTGGAAATCCCTCAGGAAATTTACCATCATGGCTAAGTCACCTCTTCACAGGGGGAGGCAGGAGAGAGAATGAGAGCCGGTAAAGGGGAGCCCCTTATGAGATCTCATGATCTCATAAGAAGATCTCATGAGAACTCACTCACTAACATGAGACTAGTATGGGTGAAACCACCCCCCATGATTCAGTTATCTCCACCTGGTCCTGCCCTTGACATGTGGGGATTATTACAATTCAAGGTGAGATTTGGGTGGGGACACAGAGCCAAACAATATCATTCCACCCCTGGCCCCATCCAAATCTCATGTCCTCAAATTTCAAAACACAATCATGCCCTTCTGGCCGTTCCCCAAAGTCTTAACTCATTCCAGTATTAACTCAAAAGTCCAAGTTCAAGGTCTCATCTGAGACAAAGCAAGTCCCTTCCAACTATGAGCCTGTAAAATCAAAAGCAAGTTAGTTACTTTCCAGATACAATGTGAGTACAGACATTGGGTAAATACAACCATTCCAAATAAGAGAAATTGACCAAAAGAAAGCAGTTACAGGCCCCACGCAGGTTCAAAATCCAATAAGGCAGCCATTAAACCTTAAAGTTCCAAAATGACCTCCTTTGGCTCATGTCTCACATCCAGGTCACACTGATGCAAGAGGTGGGCTCCCACGGCCTTGAAATATCTGATGATTACATGTCTTAAGGATGATCTTCTTGTGCAGAATCTTGATGGAATTCTCTTTATTTCCTGAATTTGACTGTTGGCCTCTCTAGCAATGTTGGGGAAAAGTTTTCATAGATGATATATTGAAACATGCTTTCTAAGTTGTTTACTTTCTCCTCCTCCCTTTCAGGGATGCCAATGATTAATAAATTTGGACCTTTTACATAATCCCATACTTTGCAGAGTTTTTGTTTATTGCTCTTTATTCTTTTTTCTTTTTTTTTTTTTTTTGACTGTCCTATTTCAGAGAACCAGTCTTTTAAGTTCTTTCATCAGCTTGGTTTATTCTGCTGTTAATACTTGTGATTGCATTGTGAATTTCATGTATTGTGTTTTTCAGCTCTGTCAGATCTGTTAGGTTCTTTTTTATACTGGATATTTCATCCTTCAGCTCCTGTATCACTTTGTTATCATTCCTATTTTCCTTGGATTGGGTTTTACCATCCTCCTGAATCTCAATAATTTTTGTGTCTATCCATACTCTCAATTCTATTTCTGTCATTCCAGCCAGTTCAGCATGGTTAAGAACTCTCATTGGAGAATAGGTGTGATCATTTGGAGGACATACACACTCTGGCCATTTGAGTTACTGGGGTTCTTGCATTGATTCATTCTCATTTCTGTGTGTGAGTGTACCTTTAACTGCAGTGTAGATTGAGTAGAGTTAATAGACTTCTTTTCTGGATATTTTCAGCAGGCTGAGGCTTTGTGCAGAGTCTTTATTTGAAGCTGACTTCTTGTCTCTGGTTTCAGAGGGCTTATGTTAGGTATTTTGATGTTGAAGTTTTGAGGTGTGATCCAGCAAGTGGCACTTAGGCTTATTGGTCAGTTGGTAGACTCTTGCTCAGTTGTGTGGCTCCCCTATGTTTCCTCACTGTTGCAGCTGTGTTCCCTCTCAATGCTCCAAATGTGTGGATTGTTCTCCCCCTTGAGTGCTGGCTGTAGATCATAACTTGACACTCCTGGGCCGCCCACAGCAGCTTTGTGAAAATCTTGGTGTTTATGTTCCTTCCTCAACTTGGAGGCAGCAAAGGAAGGGACCTTAGTACTGCTTGTGGCTGAGGGTTGTTTGCTTGTCTGCTGGGGGCTCCACCCCAGAGTGATGCAGGTCAGCAATCACTCAGAGCAATCGGCCCAGGGTGGAGGGTCTGTGCTGTTGTCCTAAGTCAAGGGTTCCCTCTCTGGGGATGTGCAGTGGGTCGTGTGTGGGACCTGAGGGAGACTGACTGACCTCTTCTCCTTGGATCGGCTGCAGCTTGTTGGAAGTATGGATAAGGCACTTAGGGTCTTTGCTCATTCATTAGTCCAAGGGTGGCAAGTGCAGTTCCACTGCAGAGGCAGTGGCAGAGGGGCTTTTAGTTGCCCCTGGAGGCTCTGTCTGGGGAGTTGCCAAGTTGCTACTGGCTTGATAGCTCTGGTGTGGGTTGGTTCGAGGCCCAGGCCTGGAGTACCTGACCATTGAGGGGATATGGGAATGAGCACCCACATAACAGTTTGGCTGCTTTTCTGTAGGGTTCCTGTTATATGCTTGGGACCCATTACAGTCTCTTGTCATCTCAGATTTTTCAGTACCTGGAAGCATCATTAGTGAAGGCTGTGAAACATCAAAGAGGGCAGCCTGTCCCTCCCTCTTGGAGCTTTGCCCCAGGGAGGCATGGGCCTGTTCCTGGCCCTAAGGCCAGGTTGGGTGGTCCTGCCTAGTGAGGAGGAATGGGATTGGGGTCCTGCTTAAAAAAGCACTGTGGCCGTGTTTTGGTAGAACAGCTGTACTGTGCTGGGGGTCCACTTCAGTCTCTAATTGCCTTGCACACTCAGATTCATGAAAGCTGGAAAGGCTAAGTCACCCAAACAGCAAAGATGATGCCCTGCCCCTCCCTCTGGGAGCTTGGTGCCAGGGAGGTTATAAATCTCTGTCAGCCAGCTGCAGAATACTGACAGGGGTGGCTGGAGGCACCCATTGGGAAGTCCCACTCAGTGAAAGAGGAATGGGATTGGGGACCCACTTAAAGAAGCAGTCTGTCCACGTTTTGGTAGAACAGCTATGCTGTACTGGGGAATCCCTTTTCCCCTGGTCAGCTCGAGCTATTCAATGGCCAAAGGCTGAAACAGCTAAGTCTCCCATACAGCAGAGATGGCAGCTCCCCTCCACCTGGGATCTCCTTCTTATGGAGGTGCAATACCACTACTGGTAGCTGGCTGGAATTCCAAGCTAGTGGATCTCACCTTGTGAGGTGCCATGGAAGTGAAGCCTGCAGGATGTTTCTGCTCGGCCTCTTGGATTCAGCCTCCTACCTAGAGGTATGTGCAGGGATATAACCTCCCACTTTTCCAGAGCTGCAACTACTTTTTCCAGAATGCCCAAGTATGTAAGGCTCCAAGTTCTCCATGCATGCTTGAGCTGATGGTCTGCCAGGAATCCACATAGCTCCATCTGTCAGACCGAAGGCCCTGATGGAGTGGGTCCACAAGGATATCTCCTGACCTGAAGGTTGCTAAGATCCATGGGAGAAGCATGGTTTCCTGGGGTCACACATTCACTCACCACTTTCCTGGGTGAGGGGCAGATTCCCTGGCTCCATGTTGCTCCTGGATGGGCCATTGTCCTGTCTTGTTTTCTTTATTCTCTGTGGGTCAAGTAGTTTCCTTGATTAGCCCCAATGTGAGTACCTAGATGTTTCAGTTGAAGGTGCTGTGTTTACTTGCCCCTTCTGTTTCACTTAATGAGAGCCATGCACACTAGCTGCTTCTTGTCAGTCATCTTGGCCACTCCCCCTCTTTTTCTTTATTAGTCTTGCTAGTGGTCTTTCTATCTTATTATTTTTTTTTTCAAAGAACCAACCCTTAGATTCGTGATCCTTTGTGTGTTTTTTTCATGTATCAATTTCCTTCAATTCAGCTCTGATTTTGGTTATTTCCTCTGCTAGCTTTTGGGTTGGTTTGCTCTTGTTTTTCTAGTTCCTCTAGGTATGATGTTAGATTGTTAACTTGTGATCTTTTTCACATTTTAATGTGGGCGTTTAGTGCTATAAACTTCCCTCTTAACATTGTTTTGACTGTGTCCCAGACATTCTGGTATGTTATATCTTTGTTCTCATTAGTTTCAAAGTATTAATTGATTTCTAACTTAATTGGATTATCTACCCAAATGTCATTCAGGAGCGAGTTGTTTACTTTCCATGTAACTGTATGGATTTGTGTGATTTTGTTAGCATTGATGTCTATTTTTATTGCACTGTGGTCCAAGAGTGTGTTTGGTATAATTTCTAATTCTTATAATTTGCTTTGGATAGTCTTCTTTTTACTTTTAAGTTTAGGGGTACAAGTGTAGGTTTGTTGCATAGGTAAACTTGTATCATGGGGGTTTGTTGTACAGATTATTTTATCAACCATGTATGAAGCCTAGTACCATTAGTCATTTTTCCTAATCCCCTCCCTCCTCTCACCGTCCTCCCTCCAAACGGCTCCAGTGTGTGCTGTTCCCCTCTATGTGTCCATGTGCTCTCATCATTTAGCTCCTACTAATATGTAACAAAAAAAAAGAGCCTGGATAGCCAAGGCAATCCTGTGCAACAAAACAAAGCTGGAGACATCATGCTACCTGACTTCAAGCTATACTACAGGGCTACAGTGACCAAAACAGCATGGTACGGATACAAAAACAGACATACAGACAAACAGAACAGAATAGAGAGTCCAGAAATAAGGCCATATGCCTACAATCATCTGATATTTGACAAAGCTGACAAAAACAAACAATGTGGAAAGAAATTCTTATTCAATAAATGGTGCTGGGTTAACTGGTTAGCCATATGCAGAAAATTGAAGCTGGACCCCTTTCTTACACCATATACAAAAATCACCTCAAGATGAATTGAAGACTTAAATGTAAAACCCAAAACTATAAAAACCCTGGAAGACAACCTAGGCAATAACATTCAGGACACAGGCACGTGCAAACATTTCATGACAAAGATGCCCAAAGCAATTGCGATGAAAGCAAAAATTGACAAATGGGATCTAATTAAACTAAAGAGTTTCTGTACAGCAAAAGAAAATATCAACAGAATAAACAGAAAACTTACAGAATAAGATAAAATTTTTGCAAGCTATGCATCCAACAAAAGTCTAATATCCAGCCTCTATAAGAAACCTAAACAAATTTACAAGTAAAAAACATCTTCATTAAAAAGTGGGCAAAAGACATGAACAGAGACTTTTCAAAAGAAGACATACATGCAGCCAACAATCATATGGAAAAAAGTTCAACACCACTGATCATTAGAGAAATGCAAATCAAAACCACAGTGAGATACCATCTTCCACCAGTAAGAAAGGCTATTATAAGAAAGCTAAAAAATGAGAGATGCTGGTGGGGTTGTGGAAAAAAAGGAACACTTCTACACTGTTGGTGGGAGTGTAAATTAGTTCAACCATTGTGGAAGACAGCTGGCAATTCCTCAAAGACCTAAAGACAGAAATACCATTTGACCCAGCAATTTCAGTACTTGATTGTTTTATGTCTGATTGTGTGGTCTATTTTAGAGTACGTGAATGTGCAGATAAGAATAATATATATTCTGTTATTTTGGGATGGAGAGTTAAAATAAATGCTAACTGCCTTAATAATCGCTACTAGTCAATGGTCACTTATTTACCTATTAATTGTCAAATATTCTCCTTATAATCTCTTATTTAGCACTCATATATATGTGTGTGTGTGTGTGTGGATATATATGTATATGTGTGTGTGTGTGGATATATATGTATATGTGTGTGTGGATATATATGTATATGTGTGTGTGTGTGTGTGTGTGTAGTATATATGTACATGAGTGGGGATGAAAAGAGAGGAGAGGGGAAAGGAGATGAGGTTAAGCTTGGAGGGGAGTGGAGGAGGGAAATCATAAAAAGTTCCAAGTAGAACAAGGATGAAATGCAGTCTAAATTCTGATATCAGACTTATCCTACAGGACTATTAAATAGTAGTAGGCAATTCACACTTAGGAATACATACAAGATTAAGGGCAGGGAGATTGATTTGGCCTTACTTAGCTTCACAGTTCCTGGCTAGAGTGATGAGAAAGGACATTGTTTTGATTAAAGCTCCTGAGAAAAGGGACTACCAGTCCAAACATCAAAGACTAATGAGAATCAGAGAGCTCAAACTGCCATCAGCCCCTAGCAAACTTGTGGATCTATATATCACATAATATATATGTCACATTTCTCTTTTTATTTAAAAATTTTATCTTAAATTTTTGTGGATACATAGCAGGTGTGTATATTTATGGGGTACATGAGATACTTTGGTTCAAGTATTACATCATGGAAAATAGGGTATCCATTTCTTCAAGCATTTATCCTTTGTGTAACAAAACATCTAATTATATACTTTTAGTTATTTTTAAAATGTGTAATTACATTATTATTGACTATAGTCACCCTGTTAAGAGACCAAATAGTAGGTTTTATTCATTCTTTCTATTTTTTTGTACCCATTAACAATCCTCACCTCCCCCTCAACCACCACTACCCTTTGCAGCCTCTGATAACCATCCTTCTACTCTCTATCTCCATGAGTTCAATTGTTTTGATTTTTAGGTTCCACAAATAAGTGAAAACACGCAATGATTGTCTTTCTGTACCTTATTTCATTTAACAGAATGACCTCCAGTTCCATCCATGTTATTGCAATTACTGGATCCCATTCCTTTTTATGGCTGCATTGTACTCCATTGTGTATGTGTACCATGTTTTCTTTACCCAATGGACACAGATTTCTTCCAAATCTTGGCTATTGTGAACAGTGCTGCAAGAAGTATGGAAGTGCAGATATCTCTGCAACATGCTGCTTTCCTTTCTTTTGGGTATGTACACAGTAGCGAGATTGCTGCATGATTCAGTAGCTCTATTTTTAGTTCTTTGAAGAACTTCCATACTGTTCTCCAAAGGGGTTGCATTAATTTACATTTCCACCAACAGTGTACGAGCATTCCCTTTTTTCCACTTCCTCACAACATTTGTTATTGCCTGTTTTTGCATATAAGCCATTTTACACTGGGATGAGATGATATCTCATTGTAGTTTTGATTTGCATTTCTCTGATGATCAATGATGTTGAACACCTTTTCATATGCCTGTTGCCATTTTTATGTCTTCTTTTGAGCAATATCTTTTCACATCTTTTGCCCATTTTGGGATTTGGGGATAGATTTATTCGTTTTTTTTTCCCCATAGAGTTGTTTGAATTTGGGAAGTTTGCAAATATTTTCTCCAGTTCTGTGGGTTGACTCTTCACTTTGTTTATTGTAAGCTTTACTCTGCAGAAGCTTTTAAATTTCATGTGATACCATTTGTCCACTTTTACTTTGGTTACCTGTGTTGGTGAGGTATTACTCAATAAATTTTTGCTTAGACCAATGACCTGGAAATGTTTGTATATTGATATTGTGTCTGTAACTTTACTGAATTTGTTTAGTAATTCTAATAGTTATTTTGTGGTGTCTTTAGATTTTTCCAAATATAAGATTATATCATCTGCAAACAAAAATAATTTGACTTCTTCCTTTCCAATTTGGATGAACTTTGTTTCTTTCTCTTGTCTGATGGCTCTAGCTGGGACTTTGAAATCTATGTTAAATAACAGTGGTGAAAGTGGGCAACCTTTTTATGTCCCAGATCTTAGAAGAAAGGCTTTCATCTTTTCCCCACTCAATGTGATGCTAGCTGTGGGTGTGTGTGTCATATATGACTTTTATTATGTTGAGGTATGTTACTTCTTCTTTTTTTTTAATCGGGAGAAGGTTACGTGACCTCTCTCTCTCTCTGTGTGTGTGGGTGTGTTTTGAGACGGAGTCTCGCTCTGTTGCCAGGCTGGAGTGCAGTGGCGCCATCTCGGTTCACTGCAACATCTGCCTCCTGGGTTTAAGCGATTCTCCTGCCTCAGCCTCCCGAGTAGCTGGGACTACAGGCGTGTGCCACCATGCCCAGCTAATTTTTTGTATTTTTAGTAGAGACAGGGTTTCACCATGTTGGCCAGGACGGTCTCGATCTCTTGACCTCGTGATCCGCCCGCCTCGGCCTCCCAAAGTGCTGTGATTACAGGCATGAGCCGCTGCGCCCAGCCGACATCTCTTTATTGGTTCAGTCTATTCCGGGCCCAGTGGCAGCCCCAGGTCCAGGGGGTCTGTGATTGGAGGTCTCTGGACAGTGAAGCGCAGCATCAGCAGAGACCCCGGGTGTCAGAGGGCTGTGGGAGTAGCAGCACTGGTCCCCGCATTGACAGGTACCCTCCTTAACCCCCTTTTTTTTTACAGACGGAGTCTCGCTCTGTCACTCAGACTGGAGTGCAGTGGCGTGATCTCGGCTCACTGCAAGCTCCGCCTTCCGGGTTTACGCCATTCTCCTGCCTCAGTCTCCCAAATAGCTGGGACCACAGGCGCCCACCACCACGCCTGGCTAATTTTTTTGTATTTTTAGTAGAGACGGGGTTTCACCGTGTTAGCCAGGATGGTCTCGATCTCCTGACCTCGTGATCCGTCTGCCTCGGCCTCCCAAAGTGCTGTGATTACAGGCGTGAGCCACCGCGCCCCGCCCCCCTCCTTAACCCTTTTGCAAGGAAATGTCTTGAGCAGGGCAGCTCGCTGGGCCCTGTCCTCAGGCGGCTCCTTCCACTCCTTAGGAAGCAGCCTGCGTCTCTCCTCCATAGCTTCGCCAGCAGCCTTGCTCCCTGGCCAGGCATGAGGCTGCGGGCTCCAGTTGGCTTCCGGGTTGGCCCGGAAGCGCTTGAGTCGTCGCTGGCGGGAGCTGGGGTTGGCATCTTCCCGGATGGTGAAGTTGGCCTGCAGCCTGGGCTCCACACTGAGAATGCGGGACGCTGGGCTGGTCTCTGAGAGTCGCTCCTGTTTCACCGGACATTCCTTCTTCCAGCAGCGCATGATGTTTCAGAGGGCGGAGGCGGGGCATACGTCTTCACAGCGTTCTTACAGGCGTGGGAGAGCGAAACCCGGAAGTGAGCGTGGAGGAGGGCCGACCGCCACGGCAGGAGGCTGGGCGTGTTGCAGAGGATGGTGCTGCTCAGCTGGTCCAGGGTGTAGTACAGAGGCACCTGTGGGAGCTCCTCAGTCATGACGCTCAGGACCCTCTGGCATCCGCTCCGAGGTGTGGAAGCGGCCGGGGTTAGCGCTCACAGCCTCTAGGACACAGCCCACGAAATCCAGGTCATGGATGGGCTCTGCCCACATGGAGCAACCAAGCTGGTGTCGCTGCCCACAGTGTTCACGCTCGGGGTCACGGGGGGAACACAGGCTACAGAGGACTTGACCCGGCCGCGGGGGACTCCTGACGCTTTGCCGAGGCGCTGAAGGTGGAAGCACCCGCAGCCCACTCAGTGGAACACCAGGGCCTGCTTGCTGGCTGAGGCCTTAACCTTGGGCTGGCCGGTGAAGACACGGACAAAAACACGCACGTAGAAGTCGGCGCTGATGCTAAGCAGCGGTACCACGAAGCGCTGGTAACAGTTGGCGCGGAGGTCCAGGCTGTGCAGGACAATTCTCAGGGCCATCTCGTGGCAGGCCCGGCTCTTGAGGGCCATGGCACCGAATTTGCTGTAACACATCTCCCCACTGTTCCGCGCCAGCACCGCCGTGTCCGTGCGGGTCACGCACAGCAACTCTCCTTCACTCACAGCCAGCACAGCTGCATCCAGGAAGGGGGCAGGACTGCCATAGGGGTCCAGATGGATGACGTCGAACCTCTCTGACACCCTCTGGTGCTGGTACATCAGCATCCAGGCATCTACTTGGCTGGGCTGTACCAGGTGGGCCCGTCATTGAGCTGCACATTCCAGCGTATGAGATCCACAGCCCCCGCAGAGGTATCGTTTGCAACCACAGATCTGAGCCCCAGTCACCTCTAGGGCAAATCGAATGGAAAGTAGGCCTGAAGCTGCCAGGCCTTCCAGCACATGCAGGCCTTCCTCACAGATCTCCCACACGGTCGCTGTGCGAGGCTGGTCTCCTGAGGCCAGGTTTTCACTCCCTTTCGGTTCAACCTTTTCCTCCTCTTGCTTTGACAAGTCCACGACCACCTTTTGTGTATCCTTCTCTCCTGGCACCTTGATCTGGATTCCTTTGGCCCCAAGCTGAATGCGAGCAAACTGGATGATCACAGCACGTCATGTCCCGACTGAATTCCTGCACAAGGTTATAAAAGACCTCGTTGGCGCTGGGATTTTGGCAGCCCCCTCAGTGACTGTCGTCTGCTGGACTTCACGTGGGCGCTCTTCTCCGCAGGGCCCGGTGCCGCTCTCCATCGCTGCTGGATTCGGCAGCCCTGGGGACTGCCCCTCGCGATAAACCGGGCTCTTCTCTCGTAACCACAGAAAACCGAATTAGTCAAGATGCACGTTTCTCAAATTAGGACCTGGGCGCCACCATGTTGGTACAGTCGAGGTATGTTACTTCTAGTCCCAGTCTTTTGAGGGTTTTTTTTTAATCATGAATGGATATTAAATTCTATCAAATAATTTTTCAGCCTCAATTTACATAATCATATGGTTTTTCTCCTTCATTCTGCTGATTTGATGTATCACGTTGATTGATTTACATATGGTAAACCATCCGTGTATCACGAAGATAAATCCCAGTTGGTCATGATTAATGATGTTTTTAATGTATTGTCGAATTATGTTTGCTAGTATTTTGTTGAGGATTTTTGCATCCATATATATCAGAAGTATTGGTCTGTAGTTAGTTTATTTATTTATTTACTTATTTATTTTTATGTGTCTTTGTCTAGTTTTGGTGTCAGTGTAATACTGGCCTTACAAAATGCATTTGAAAGTATTCTCTCCTCCTCTATTTTTTTTTGGAATAATTTGAGTCGGATTGGTGTTAGTTCTTTAAATGTTTGGTGGAATTCAACAGTGAAGCCACTGGGTCCTGGGCTTTCATTACTGGAAATGGTCTGTTCAAATTTTGGATGTCTTCCTGATTTAATCTTGGTGGGTTGTTCCTGTCTAGGAATTTGACCATTTTTTCTAGATTTTTCAACTTATTGGCATATACTGGCATATAGTAGCCGCTAATGATCCTCTGAATTTCTGCAGTATCAGTTGCAGTATTGCCTTTGTCATTTCTGATTTGATTTATTTAGATCTTCTCTCTTTTTTTTTTTTTTTTTTAGTCTGGCTAAAGGTTTGTCAATTTTGTTTAACTTTTCAAAAAACCAACTTTTTGTTTCAGTGATCTTTTGTATATTTTTGTTTCAATTTCATTTATTTCTGCTCTGATCTTCATTATTTCTTTTCCTCTGCTAATTTTGAAGTTAGTTCACTATTACTTTTCTAGTTCTTTAAGATGCATCTTTAGATTTTTTATTTGAAGTTTTTCTTCTTTTCTGATATAGGTTCTGATAGCTATAAACTTCTCTCAATATTGAATATGGGATAACTTTTTAATTTCTTTTTCACATTGTTCACTGTTGACATATAGCAATGCTACTGATGTTTGCATAGTAATTTTGTATCTTCAACTTTACTGAATTTGTTTTATAATTCCAATAGTTATTTTGTGGAGTCTTTAGATATTTCCAAATATAAGATTATATCATCTGCAAACAAGGATACATAGACCAAGGATGCTTTTGCTGCATCCCATAGGTTTTAGTGTGTTGTATGTTCAATGTCACTTGTTTCAAGGAGTTTTTCAATCTGCTTCTTAATTTTTTTATTGACCCACTGATAATTCAGGAGCATATTGTTCAATTTCCATGTGTTTGTATAGTTTCCAAAAATTTCTCTTATTATTGATTTCTAGTTTTATTCCATTGTGGTCAGAGAAGATGCTTGATATAATTTCAATTGTTTAAGACATATTTTGTGACCTAACATATGGTCTGTCCTTGAGAATGATCAATGTGCTGAGGAAAAAAAAAATGTATATTCTGCAGCCATTGGATGAAATGTTTTGTAAATATCTGTTAGATCCATTTGGTCTATAGCGCAGATAAGTCTAATGTATCTTTGTTTATTTTCTGTCTGGAAGATATGTCCAATGAAGAAAGTGTGGTGTTGAAGTATGCAGCTCTGATTGTATTGGAGTCTATCTCTTACTTTAGCTCTAATAATACTTGCTGCATCTACCTGGGGACTCCTTTATTGAGTGCATATGTATTTAAAGTTGTTATATCCTCTTGCTGAATTGACTCCTTTATTATTATATAGTGTTCCTCTTTGTCTCTTATTATAGATTTTGTCTTGAAATCTGTTTTCTGTGATGTAAGTATAGCTACTCTTTCTCTTTCTTTTTTGGTTTCCATGTGCATGGAATATCTTTTTCTACCCTTTTATTTTTAGTATATGTGTGCCTTTATAGGTGAACTGTATTTTTCTTAGGCCACAGGTGAGTGAGTCTTACTTTTTTAATTCATTCAGCCAGTGTATGTTTTTTGATTGGAAATTTTAGTTCATATCTTTTGATTGGAGAGTTTAGTAAAGTTATATTCAGTGTTATTGTTGGTAAGTAAGAACTTACTCTTGCCATTTTGTTATTTGTTTTCTGGCTTTTTAATTTTTTCCTTCTTTCCTTTCTTTTTTTTGTGAAGGTGATTTTCTCTGGTGATATGATTCAATTTCCTGCTTTTCATGTTTGGTGTGTCTGTTGTAAGTTTTTTGGTTTGAGGTTACAATGAGGCTTGGAAATACTGTCTTGTAACCCATTATCTTAAGCCGATAATAATGCTGTTTGCATGGACAAACAATCAAACCAGCAAGCAAAAAGAAAACTCATAAAAACTGTGCCTTAACTTTGTTACCTACTTTTTAACCTTTTGTACTTAGTGTTTGCATCTTATTGTGTTGTCTATGTCTGCAGAGATTGTTGTCATTATTATTTTTGACTGTTTCATAGTTTAGTCTTTTACTAAGGATAAGAATAGTTTACATACCACATTTACAGTGTTACAATATTCTGTGTTTTTCTGTTTAGCTACTATTACCGGTGGGTTTTGCGCCTTCAGATGATTTATTTCTCATTAACATCTTTTTATTTTTGAATGAAGTACTCCATTAAGTGTTTCTTGTGGGATAGGTCTGGTGTGGCTGAAATCCCTCAGCTTTTGTTTGTCTAAGAAAGTCTTTATTTCTCCTTCATGTTTGAAGGTTATTTTTACGAGATATATTATTCTAGGGTAAAAGTATTTTCCTTCAGCACTTTAAATATGCCATGCCATTCTCTTCCAGCTTATAAGATTTCCACTGAGATGTCCAGAAGTATTGGAGCTCCGCTGCACATTTTTTTTCTTTTCTCTTGCTGCTTTTAGGATCCTTTCTCCATCCTTGACCTTTGGGAGTTTGGTTGTTAAATGCCTTGAGGTAAGCATCTTTGGGTTAAATCTGCTTGATGCTCTATAACCTTTTTGTACTTGGATATTAACATCTTTCTCTAAGTTTAAAAATTCTCTCTTATTGTCACTTTGAATAATATTTCTACTTCTAACTCAATCTCTACCACCTCTTTAAGGCCATTAGCTCTGATTTTCCCCTTTGCAGTTATTTTCTAGATCCTGTAGGTGTGCTTCCTTGTTTTCTATTTTTATTTTTTTGTTTTTTATCCTCTTACTGGGTATTTTCAAATAGCCTGTCTTTAAGGTCACTAATTCTTTATTCTGCTTGAAGAATTCTGCTATTTAAAAAATGTAATGCACTCTTTAGTATGCCTATTTCATTTTTCAGCTCCAAATTTTCTGCTTGCTTCTTTTAAATTATTTCATTCTCTTTGTTAAATTTCTCTGATAGAATTCTGAATTCCCTCTCTTTGTTATCTTGCATTTCTTTGAGTTTTTGCAACACAACTATTTTGTATTCTCTGTCTGAAAGGTCAGATATCTTTGTTTCCTTAGGATTGGCCACTGGTGCCTTATTAGTTAGTTGGTTGGGTTTATGTTTTCCTGGATGATCTTGATACTTGTAGATGTTCATCTGTGTCTGGGCATTGAAGAGTTACATATTTATTGCAGTCTTCACTGTCTGGGTTTGTTCGTACCTGTCCTTCTTGAGAAGGCTTTCCAGATATTCTAAAGGACTTGGGTGTTCTGATCTAAGCTGTGTCTGCTTTAGGGGGCACCCCAAGCACAGTAACACTGTTGTTCTTGCAGACCTATAGAGGTACTGCTTTGAAGGTCTTGGACAAGATTCAGGAGAATTCTTTTGATTATCCGCAGAAACTCTTGTTCTCTTCTCTTAGTTTCTCCCAAATGTACAGAGTCTCTCCCTCTCTGTTCTGAGCCACCTGAAGCTGAGCATGGAGTGATGTAAGCGCCACTGTGGCCTCTACCACTGTGACTGCACTGGGTCAGACCTGAAGCCAGCGCATCATTGGGTCTCACCCATGGCCTACTGTAACCACTTCCTTTCTCCCACCTATGTTTGCTCAGTACCCTGGGGCTCTACAATCAGTGGGTGGCAAAGACAGCCAGGCCTCTGTCCTTCCTTTCAGGGCAGCAAGTTCCCCCTAGCCCCAGGCAGTTATAGAGTTGCAGTCTGGGAGCCAGGGACTAGATTCAAAAACTTTAGAAGTCTGCCTGGTGTTCTGTTGTACTGTGGCTGAGCTGGCAGTCAATCCACTGCATGCCGTTCTTTCTACTCTTCCCTCCTTTTTCCAAAAGCAGAGGAGCCTCACCCCATAGCCACTACCACCACGGGCACATGTGGAATACTACCAGCCTACTGCCAATAGTCCCTTAAGGGGCCAGGTCTCTTCAGTCAGCATGTGGTGAGTGCTGCCTTGCCTGGGACTCACCTTCCAGAGACATGAACTCCTCTCTGGCCCAGAGCAGGTCTAGGAATGCCATCTAATAGCCAGGTCCCAGAATCGGGGACTCCAAATGCCTGCTTGGTGCTCTACACACTGTGGCTAAACTGGTACCTAACGTGCAAGAGAAAATCCCCTTTACCTTTCTCTCTGCTTTTCTCAAGCAGAAGGAGTCTTTGCCTACAGTCACCACAGCTAGAAATTTGCTGAGTCTTACCTGAATCCATCAAGGCTCAGACCCCCACCCGAAGCCCTCAATCTAGTGCCTGGGTATCACTGCTGGTTATTCAGGGCCCAGGGGCTCTTCAGTTAGCAGGTGATGAATGCTGCCAGAACTAGGTCCTTCCCCTCAAGGCAACAGGTTCCCTTCTGGCTCAGCGTGTGTCTAGCAATGTCATTTGGGAGCTAGGTCCTGGAAACAGGGCCTCAGGACTCTGATGAGTGCCCTATCCTGCTGTGGCTAAGCTGGCATCCAAGATGAAAGACAAAGTCCTTTCCACAGTTACATCTCTTATCCTCAGGCGGAAGGAAGGAGTCTCTTTTGGGGCTTTGAAATTTGCGGACTGAAGTGAGGAGAGGGGAGATGCCAGCACTCCCTTGGCTGCCCAAGCTGAAGTTTCAGTAGGTCTTCTGCCTCCCAGTTCACTGACTCTGGCCCCGGTCCCTCACTAAGACTCTTCTAGGTGTTGCAGTCCTTGTTTCCTAGACTGCATTTCGCATTTATTTAGAGCCCCAGAGTACCTTAGCCCAGGTTGGTGAGGTTTGCAGGAACTCAGGTTCCGACCTCTGGGGTTGCGTGATTCCCCTCTTGCTAGGGCTGGTTTAAATTCTCCCTTCATGGGCAGGCATTAGTTGAGTTTGGTCCGGTTTTTCTTTCTGCTCTTATACAACATCACTGAGTTCAGAGCCTCACAATTGCTGTGTTCTCCCCCTTGCAGTGCACTTAAACCGTCTTGGCACCTTGCTGCAGCTGCAGTGGGGTTGGGGAGGGGTGCCACTGGTGAATCAAGACTGTTTTTTTCTAGCTGTTTAGTGCCTCTTTCAATGATATGAAGTTAAAACCAGTACTGTGAGTGCTCACCTGATTTTTGGTTATCATAAAGGTGCATTTTTAATGTACATAGTTGTTAAATTGGTGTACTTGAGGGGTGGGGTGGCAACTGGTAAAGACTTCCATTTCATCATCTTTCTCTGCCTCCTCAGCATATATATTTTTTGAGAGTTTAGAAGGACAGTGCTGTTAAATACAAAATGTAAACAAGGCAGGAACAACCTAAGCATGTCTCCTATAACAAAGTTAATTTATATTCCTCTGGGATTACATGCTAGGACTTTATAACCCTCTTTCAATGTGCATATTGTCATGGGAACAGCATGCAGAAACCTTGGAAGAAAACATAGAAGAGATGAAATATTTAGTAAGGTTAGATTTCATGAAAATGCGAAAGATCTGATATTTTATCCTGTAGTTAATGTTTATTTGCTGTAATTGCACATTTTTTTATGTGCACAGAGTATGCTGATGATAGAAATTCTTTATTTTGGCACCCTCCTCTACTGCTTCTCTGATTACTATGAAATAAAGCTAGAAATTAAAAATAAACAGTTGAAATTCATAGAAATATGCAACCAATATTTTAAAATATTGTTCTAAATAACACTTAGGTCAAAGGGGAACTTCCAACTCCAACTGCAGACCATTTGGATATGTTACCAGTGGGAGCACTACATCTCAAAGTATATGGATGGTGGTGAAAGATGAGTTTAGAAGATTAATCGTCATATGTGTTTATCAATAATTCAACTAAGTAGAATAAAATAAATTGAAATAAATACAAGAGAGCATTTATTTAATAAATATTTATTTTGTGCCTACTATGTGCTAGACACTGTGCTAGGTACTAAAAATAAAGCAGCAAATACAACCAAGTCTGTGAACTCATAGAGCTTACATTGTAATAGAGAGAAATGGAAAACTAACCTGTAAATTGTTAAGTGAATAATATGTCAGATGGTAAGTGCTTGAGATGTGAACAGATGTGACATGCATTTATTCTCAGTGAAAGCTTCAAGAATCAACATGCATGATTTGTCATCTTCTCTTTTTTTGACTCTGTGATTATGAAAACAGGTGTCAAGATGGAGCTTCCATCAGCCATGGTCCATGAATAACTACAATAAGTAGACCTCTTGCTGATTCCCTGGCATGCGGTATAAATGAGAAATAGACATTGTTGTTTTAAGCCACAGGCATTTTCATGCTGTTTCTTACTGCAGTGTAATCTGACTCATACATCTAAGTGAAAATGTCACATAGGTAGCCGGTGATATAAAATGCTGGAAGATATATCAGGAATTACTAGTATGTAGATGGTAGTTAAATAATGGAACTGGAAAATATTACTGAGGGAATAAGTATATAGAAGAGGTCTGAGGATTGAGCTCTGGGTTTCTCCAAAGTTAAGAGATCAGTGAGAAGATAAGGACTCAGCAAAGGAGAAAGATGAAAAGCAATAAGCAGTACACGAGAAAGATGAAACAAGAACAAGTATTCTTGAACACAAGAATAGAGTATTTCAAGAAAGAAGAAATACCAATGGTTGTAATGTTGCCAATGGATCAAAGAAGAGGAGAAATGAGAATTAATCAGTGTATCTATAATGTGGAGGTCACTCCATCTTTGATAGAGGGAGTTTTGGTGGAATGATAGAAAATTCAATTTTAATGGAGTGGGTTGATGAGAGGATGGATGTAAGGAAGTGGAAGCAATGAGAATAGACAATTTTTAAAGCCATTGTTTAGTAAGGGGGAGCGAAGACTATTTTAGCTCCCACATATAAGTGAAATCGTGCACTATATGCTTTTCTGTGCCTGGCTTGTTTCACTTAACATAATGTTTTCTGGGTTCATTCATATTGTCACATATGTCAGAATTTTATTCTTTATTAAGACTCAATAATATTCCATTTTTTATCTATATATCTACGTATATATATTTATATATATATATTACATTATCTTTATCCATTCACCTGTCAGTAGACAATAGGGTTGTTTCCATATCTTGGCTATTGTGAATGATGCTGCAATGAAGGAAGAAAGGAAGAGAGAAATAAAGAAGAAAGGAAGGAAAGAAAAATTAATAAGAGTCAACAGATAGTGAAATCATCAAATAATCTGTGATATATATATAGAGAGAGATAGATACAAGCTTATTTATACTATTTTCATGGTGTGTATATATATATATATATGCAAGTATATATATATATATACAGCTTATTTATACTATTTCCATGGTGTGTATATATATATATATATTACATAATGTATATAATATATAATTTAATTTTAAAATGTTTAATAATATAATTTTAAATGTGAAAAAGAGTATGTCTCATATATAATGACATATGCCACATTATTAAGTGAGAAAATAAAGTTTCAGATAATTGTTTATAGTAGGATAGTATTTTTACTTTTTTTTTTTTTTTTTGTAAATACCTACTCTTCTTTTAGAGCTATTTGTGAATGAGGAATGGAAATGCAAGGATTTTAATATAGAAAGAACTCTAAGTGAAAAAAAGGGGTAGAACCATAACACATTTCTAAACTTTACCAAATGATGGGGTTTTTCAAATGCCATTATCTAGGCAGAGAGGTGGTATATGCAGTAGGATTCTTCTTCAAGGATTAGGAAAGCTGGCTATTAAAATCAGCCACTTGATTGAAGGCTAACTCAAAGTTGAGTATTAATTCATTGTCTCTCAAGTATAGTCAATTGTGTTAGATTGAATGGAGTGAAAATGAAGCTGAAACTCAGAGTGTTTACTCACTTTTCTTACCCCATTTGAATACCTTCTTCCAAGTAATACTAAACCTCTGCCTGGGTCTGCAGCTGGCAATAACAATACTGGTCAAGATTTTGACTTGTGTTTCTTTGGAGACATTATTTTTGTTCGTCCTGAAGACATAATTTTGTTGTTTCTTTTGTTTATGTTTTTATTATAAGCTTCTGAAGCAATTGAAAGTTTTGTTCAGTTTTTGAGATGTTACAGGTATGAGGCTATGTGTCCTGGTAAGTCTTTAGAACTTTGGAAAGTGGGACACAGGAGAGACTTAGAGTCGTATTAAACTCAGTTTTGAAGCTGCTGAAAGCACTACACAGTCTTTGATGGGAGACAGGCTTGGTTATATTTGCTGAAGGATGTATCAAGACTAACGAGGTACTTAAGTGAGACCCCTCTTAATGGTACCAATCATAGTGATAATATGGTGAAGGAGAGGCTTAGAGATTATTACTTCTATTGCAAACCAGCAGAAAGGAAATAAATTCACATTCTATTAAAAGTAGAAAAATATTTAATGTGCTGTCAAATAAGGGCACATAATAAATAAGCTATTATTGGTCTCCAGCAACTTCTGTAATGTTGCTGTCAACAGACATCATATTTTCTGTGACGGCTGATGCTGGGCTCTGGGAGTAGATGGATTGGAGAGCAGAGTTTGAGATCACCCCATTTTCCAAAAGTGTATTGTCTGGGGATCTAGGGAGAGAGGCAAACAGAATTCCCCGATGTTCTGCCTGATCTAAGTATGATGATGCTTTGGCTGTGGCTCGGTTACAATATTAGTATGACCTCTGTCTCTGTCTTGTGTTCTGGGGGTGGGGGTGTAGAAGCCAACATGAAGTGCTCTCTGCCCAAGCTTCTGTCACTTCCTCTCTGCTGAGTACTAAATGATTGCACACCACACACAGGAGAGGCCCTGAAGGTATAACAAGTGACAGAAGTATTCAATAAGGGGTTAAAAGGACAGTGTGATTTTCACCTTTGTTACCAGGGACAGATGATAATGAGATTCCTGTCATCATGGCTTATAGAGAAGAAATGACACAATTCAAACTACGTTGACTGCTCTGTTGCCATCAAGAATGATGGAAAGAAGAGAAAGACAGCTTTAATAATTCATTTCAACCAGCTCTTTCTTTGGTTTGGTTAACTGTCAGTTTTCATATATCCATATGATGGAATGATATACTACCAGTAAAATTATGTTTTTGAAGAATATTTAATGACAAAGGACAGTCTTATGATGTAATTTTAAATGTTAAAAAAATAATGCCACACTTTATTTATAACATAATCCCATGCAGGAAGAAAAGCCTTTGAGTTATAAACAATGATGAAATCTCAGTGATGGAAATAATTTTGTTTCCTTTTTCTGATGTTGATATATTTTCCAAATTTTCTATTTTAAACTCCTTTTGCTTTTGCAATTTGAAAAATCAAAGACCTTATTTTAAAAATGTCATTTTTTTTTGTAAAAACCACAGGACTTAATTCAAAGAACACTTGAAATTACACAAGGAAAAGGTAACAATGGAAGATGTAAGGGGGAGGGGTGGCATAGTTTTCTAATTTTGCTTTCTGCTGAGTTGTTTTGGCAGCTCAATTTGAATTACTCAAGCTGATGGGTTTTGTTTTAACCTTGTCTTTCAGAGAACCAAGATGGATAAAGTAAATGGAATGACAAAATGTAGGGTTGGCTAGAAATTCCATTATGATAAAGAATTAGAGAGCTAATATAGACATTGGCACAGATAGCTAAGTTTATTAATTCTTAGTAAAAGCAGAGGCAAGGACATCAAGGGGATCCATTTCCTCTGACATCATTTGGGAATGTCTTGGTAACAAACTCAGTGCTCATAGTCTATACTCTGTAGCAAAACAAGAGTAAATAAAAACAACTTACAAATCTAGGAAATGAAGAATATTTAATCAGTTGATCACTACATCTCCCTACTTTATACTTTAGTTACTCTTTCCCACTTATACTTTAGTTACTCTTTCCCAATTTTTAAACCTTAAATTTCAATTGTTTAGATAAAAAGTTAACATAGTAGGGAAAAAGTTTCAGAGCTACTTGTAGTAAATCCAGAATTACTGTACCCCATTGGTCATCTCCATGAAGTTCCTGGTTATCTAAGCTGCAAATGCTACCTTTAAAGTGCATAGATGAGACTACACTGAAAAAACGTTTGTGACTGGGTGCTGTGGTTCACGCCTGTAATCCCAGCACTTTGGGAGGCTGAGGCAGGCGGATCACCTAAGGTCAGGAGTTCGAGACCAGCCTGACCAGCATGGGGAAACCCCGTCTCTACTAAAAATACAAAATTAGCCGGGCGTGGTGATACATGACTGTAATCCCAGCTACTAGGGAGGCTGAGGGAGGAGAATCACTTGAACCGGGAGGCAGAGGTAGCAATGAGCCGAGATCATGCCACTGTACTCCAGCCTGGGTGACAGAGTGAGACTCTATCTCAAAAAAAAAAAAAAAAAAAATAAATAAATAAATAAATAAATAGAAAGAAAGAATGTTTGTGCATGCTCTACAGTCTGTTCAATTTTAACAAGTAAAGAAAATTAAAAGTTGACAATATAATAAACTTTACTTCTCCAACCATCACTAGATCCCAAGGCATTTTATACTATACTATGGTTGATGAAAGCCAGTTCACAGAATAATTGATTTTTAAAAAGCAGAACCTATTTTAGAAATATTAAAAAAGCCAACCATTTCACTTTACAGATTAGAAAATTGAGGCTGAAGAGGTGAAGAGAGTTTCGAGCCTAGGACAAAACTTGTCTGCATAGTTGTCATTGCACAATAATGCCTATTTAACTTGTCAAATATCAGAGATAATTGATGCTTTTATTTGAAAGGTTATTAAAGTCAAAATGAATCAGCATAATATTTTAATATTAAAATATTCCAGATGACTCTGAGCTGTGAAATTTCTTCTGCAGCATTCCCGATTAGGTGTCAGGAAGTTTCTGTTAATGAGTGGGAAGTTAGGCTAGAAGTTTCTGTAAAGTAAAATATGTTATCTGTGAGTGTGGACAAGAGTTTGCCAAGCAGAAAGAAATACAATGCCTTTTAAAAAATATTTAATTCAACACATAAAAATATAAACACATAGGTTTTAGGTTTCATATATCTTCACAATTATTTTTTAAATAATAGTGGATGAACGAGAAGCTACAGCATTTGTTTATCTTTTTCTACTTTCGTAACACATGACATTTATTTCCCTTTCTGACCCCCTTGCTCCTGCTGATGGATGTAGTATCATTTTCATGTTACTGTATTTTCATTTATTTGTTATGTATACTTTTTCTTATTTACTTTAAAGCAATTATCATTAGCTTTGTAGTTTTTGTCTCTTACTTTGGTCCTCATGTTCAGTGACTGATATTCTTGTTTGCAATGGGAAAGACAATGAGCATATAAAGCGTGTCCTTTGACCAACAAATAACAGAGCCTAAATGTTCACCCTAAATCTAATTAAAGTTCAAAAACCAGGCCTTTGGTTGAACAAAGATTATCTAATGAAATTGCAAAGGAAGAGTCCATTCCCAAATGCTATTTTAAACCTCTAACTGGACATGCTGAAGTAGTACTATCTGATCACATTAAACATGTGATAGCAGATATGCTACTTAAGAATACCATATAATTCTAATTTCATTTTTGTTACCTACTCTTTGCTTTATATGAAGGACATACTTAATGGACCAGCTAATCTGTTAAATTTTAAAGGAATTCCATTTAACAAGTTGTTTTTAAATACATTCATTCATTCTTCAGATATTTATTGAGTTTCTTTTATGGGTCAGGCATTCCTAGAGGATCTGAGAATGCTGACATAAAGAATCCTGCTTTCATTTAGTTTGCATTGTACTGGGGATGGAGGCAGATAACTGAAAACAAATGAATAAATAAACAACATGAGTTCAGTTAGTTATAAGTACTAAGAAGAAAAGAAATTAGATGGGCGTGAGAAAATGATTGGAGGAGAGGTAATTTGGTCAGGGTTCTTAGGAATAGCCTCAATGAGGGAATGTAAACCAAAATAAAAATGTTGGGAGATCTAAAGGACTAGAACTTGTGAGGAAAGATTGGAAATGGTAACGACAAGCCAAATGAAGGTCTAGGGTAAGACTCTTCTGAATAATTGGGCAAACACTCTGAGGGAAAAAGTAATGGCAGGTTTAAGAATTAGAGAGAAATCCAGTGTGGCTGGAATGTAGTTAATGACTGAATAAGTTAATGGTGAAAGAAAAAGGAGTCTAGTACTGGGCCATCAGGTACTGGGATGTTTCCAGTTCCTTGATGTTAAAAATAAAGCTGCTGCTGGGCACGGTAGCTCACCCCTGTAATCCCAGCACTTTGGGAGGCCGAGACAGGCAGATCACAAGGTCAAGAGTTCAAGATCAGCCTGGCCAATATGGTGAAACCCCATCTCTACTAAAAATACAAAAAAATTAGCCAGGTGTGGTGGCGTATGCCTGTAATCCCAGCTACTCGGGAGGCTGAGGCAGGAGAATTGCTTGAACCCAGGAGGTGGAGGTTGCAGTGAACCAAGATCGTGCCACTGCACTCCAGCCTGGGCAACAGAGCGAGACTCCATCTCAAAAATAAAAATAAATAAATAAATAAATAAAGCTGCTATAAACATTGTGTACAGGTTATTGTGTGAACATAAGCTTCTATTTTTCTGGTATAAATGCCCAGGAGTGCAATTGCTGGGTGAGAGTGTAGTTGCATACTTAGTGTTTAAAGAAACTGCCAACCTGTTTTCCAGAGTACCTGTGCCATTTTGCATTTCTACCAGAAATGTATGTGTGACAGTTTCATGACATTCTCACTAGCATTTGGTGCTGTCACTATTTTTTTTTTTTATTTTTAGCCATTCTGATAGGTATATAGTAATATCTCACTTTGCTTTTTTAATTTGCATTTTCCTAAATAGCTAATAACATTGAACATCTTTTCATTTGCTTATATGCAATCTGTATATCTTCTTTTGTTAAATATCCTTTCATGTTTTTTGCCCATTTTTAATTGTATTGCTTATTTTTCTACCTTTGATTTTTGATAATTATTTATATATTCAAGATACTAGTATCTTATCAGATATGCGGTTTGCAGTTATTTTTCTCTCATTTGATAGCTTGTCTTTTTTTAACTTTTTATGAGGTCCAGTGAATCAATCTTTATCAATTTATCAGTCTTTCTATAGTATTTTCCTATGTAAACTAGTCTAATGCCATCTCAGAGTCTTCCATGAACTGCCTGCAACCACTGTCTTATTCATGCTATACTCATATCTCACATTCTGTCTGTTGAATAAACTCCTATACAATCAATGAAAATGCTCACTCCTGCAGGCAGCCTACTCTGATCATTCCAACCAAAATCTTCTAATGGTTTATCTTACTATACAAATAAAATTCAAGGGCCTTACCACTGCCTGCAAGACCCTACCTGATATAGCCAGTGTTAGCTCTATGACCTCATCTCATCATTATTTGTCTGCTGCACACGGGGCTCTAGTCACCGTGGCCTCCTTGCTTTTGCTCAGATACACCAAGCATATTCATACCTCTAGCCCATTTCACTTACTGTTCTCTCTGTTTAGAAAACCCTTTGCTCCTGCATTAGTTTGCTACTGAGGCTTTTACAAACTGCCATGCATTTAGTGGCTTAAAACAACACAGATTTATTCTCTTACAGGTCTGGAGGTCAGAAGTCTGAAATGGGTCTCGCTGAGCTAAAATTCAGATCTGGGCAGGGCTGCCTCCCTAATGGAGACTCTAGGAGATCCTTTGTTTTGTTGCCTTCCACAGCTTCTAGAGACCATTCACATTCCTTAGCTTGTGGCACTTTTCTCCATTTTCAAAGCCAGGCAAAGAGCATCTTTAAATCTTTCTGTCACCCACACTTCTGCTTACTTCTTTCACTTACAAGGACCCTTGTGATTACGTTGAACCCACCTAGATAACCCAGGATAATTTTCCCATCTCAGAATCCTTAACTTGATCACACCTGCAAAGTCCCTTTTCACAGATTTCACTACATTCACAGATCCCAGGGATTAAAACATGGATATGTTTGGGGAACATTGTTCTGCTGGTCACACCTTCCAAATCTTCATATGTTATTTTCTCACTTCATTCAAGTTTCTGTTCAAATTTCACTTAATCATTGATGCTGCCTCTGAGCATTCTAAATAAAATATTGTGCCTTTCTATTGCTCTATATTCCTCTTCTCTGTTTTCCCTTCCTCATAACACTTATTGCCACTAAACGAATAATTTTGTTTTTGTTTACTGTTTGTCTGTACTAATATATAAACTCCATGAAAACAGAGATTTTATCTTGTTTGTTCACTGCTGTGTCCCCTGCCCCTCTTATCTAGAACAATGCCTGCTGTATGGAAGGTGCTCAATAAATGTTTATTGAATTGATGAATATTGAACTTCTGTACATATTATTTTCTACTCCAGTGTACATTCTTAGACTATAATAACCATGTTTTATGTTAAACATTCCAAATCCATAAAATTTAGATACCGAAGAAATCTGATTTTTATTATGAGGATTCTGTCTCACCTAGTAAGAAGTTAAAACCCTCTCTTCTGCAACACCTATTCTGACCTTGTTCACCTTTTTATTTTTAGAAGATTTCATTCAGCTATTTTTGTATAATAGAAAAGAGCTCCCCTCACCCTTCTCATGAGATGGAAGGTACAATGATGTGAATTTCCTTAAAGGCACTGGGCTTCAGCCTTACTAAATGGTTGGGAAAACAAAAACTCATAGAAACACAGAAAATTCGATATCATATTATATATGGTGTACACGCATATATATTCAATTTATTGGAAACAAATTTTAAATAACTTTGCATAAAATCATGTCTTAAATAATGGTTACTTTATATGGTTTTTAAAGTTGCAATAAAGCTCAATGCACGTTGATTTTATGAATATTTTTGATACAAACAGAAACTTCAATATCTTATACAGTAGTGTTGAAGGAAGAAGCATTGACTTTTATGAATATTTTTAATATAAACAGAAACATCAGTATCTTATACAGTAGTGTCGAAGGAAGAAGTGAAGGACAAAGGAAATCTGTGTCATTAGCTTACTGTGTAGTGTTACATGCTTTTTTATTGTTTTGAGTCTCATTTCCTTATTTACAAAATGGTCATCATAATAGCAACTACATTTGGCTAATATCAATTGATAAAAAGAGTGCTAATATGGTGAACAAGTCAGATGTGGTTTCTAAAAAGAAGTTATTATAAACCATGACTCAGTAATGGCCAGACAGAATGCTTGGAGGAGGGTGGCACAGAGGAGTGGGATAGGGGGCAGATCCAGAGGAATAAGAAGGGTTCCCTTCTCCCCTGATGGAGTTGGCAGCCTTCTTTTTCCTTAGGAGTTAGAGGACAAAAATTCTTGACAAAAGAACCTAGGAAAATATTAAACTTCAGTAGAATCCTTAGTAGAGGTGAGAATCCAAGGGGGATTGAAAGTGTAGAGAACAATATTGGGAATAAAGTTTCCAGAGTATAAAACAAAGATTGCAGTGGCAGGAGATCCCCTGGAAGGAAAGTTGACTATGAGAAAGGAATAGAGAGGTTCTCTAGCAACACAGCTAGCTAGCAGGAATGAGGCAAGAAGCAGGGCTGGATACTCTGAGGGACTAAAGCTTACACAGTAGATAAGAGGCCTATTTCCAGAAGTTTTGAGCGAAGGAGAACCAGTCATGAAAACCACACATTTTCCAAGGTATATGCATGCTGCTATTCCTGGATCCTTGGGTTCTATGTCTGTTATGTGTCAGACACCAGTATATGGCAATATCCTCTTTTCAGGTGAATCATCTTAATACATTGAGAGACTTAGCTCCTATTGTTCTTGATTTATACATAAGCTCTTATTATTTTTTAGTTTACGTGTGTGGAGGGTAGCCTTAACAGAGGCAGACAGATCTGGGAGCGCCTATGATCAATAGATGACTGATCACTTGTATTAGCATACACAGCAATAAATATGGCAATAGAATTTTAAAAAGCAGCATACAAACAAGGTCCATACAAATGTAATGTGTACTTTAAAGGTTATATTTTTTCAAAATACTCAAATAATTAAAAAAGGACAGTAGAGAGACTCCATAGCTGTCAAATGGCTACTCTAAAACTAGAGTAGTTTTACTCTGGTAAATAGCATGTTACTAACACTCTTGCTTTAACAATGCTAAAAATACCATCTTAAAATGACCCCACTGTCATTTTAAGAGTGGGGAAGGAAAACATAAAGAAGGTTAACTAGGTTATTTATCAGCAATGATTGAAAATAACCTAAGCAAATCATTTGGAGATGCCACTGCTGAGAACAGAAGGTACCCTGATATTTTGACCTGTTTCCTAAAGGCCTCAAACATTTGTGGTTTGTTGGCTTATTTGTTTGTTTGTTGTTATGAAACCACCTTGACATAATGCTATAACAACTGGTATTTTGATCACATTAAAGAGTGAGTCAATTTGTTGAAAACAGATACAAATATGTTTTTACCAGATTATGACTTTTTTTTTTTTTTTTGAGACGGAATCTCACTCTGTCTTCCAGGCTGCAATGGCGCCATCTCGGCTCACTGCAACCTCCACCTCCCGGGTTCAAGCGATTCTCCTGCCTCAGCCTCCCGAGTAGAGTAGCTGGGATTATGGGGGTCCACCACTATGCCTGGGCTAATTTTTGCATTTTTAGTAGAGACAGAGTTTCAGCATGTTAGTCAGGCTGGTCTCAAACTCCTGACCTCAGGTGATCCGCTGGCCTTGGCCTCTCAAAGTGCTGGGAGTGCAGGCACGACCCCTCATGCCCAGCCAGCTATAAACTTTTTAACTCCCTCCACTCATATCCCTAAGGCGTCAAATGCCTGTTTGACTAGGTTTTTCCCTTTTTCACTAGTGGGCTGGCTTACTGTAAATACAGTACAAACCATTGCCATAGTTCTCTTATCTCCATGTATTGTTTCATTCCTTCAACAAATATTTATTGACAATTTAAGTGCTCGGTAAACCTCTAAGCCCTGGGTATACATATTTGAGGCAGACAGAGACCCTGCCCTTAAGGAATTTAGAATCTAGCCTCCAATCTACACCTAACTGCTTACTTGCTGTTACAGGTTTCAGTACTGAGGCAATGAAATCAGTCCCTGTTCCTTTATCTCCCCGAGTATTCTATGAATACATTTTTAATGACATTTTACATATCTAGTTGAATTGTCTATTAACAGAAGTACCCCTAAGCGGTGAGCAACTTGAGAGAAGCCTGGGTGCCAACTAAAGAGACCCTTCTTCAGCTGAGATCCTGGAGAGGTAACTGCAGGTGTTGATTATATGCCCCTACCTGTTTATCTAGAATATAAGCCAGGGGAACAGGAGTCTTATCTTGTTCATGGTTGTATCTCCAGCTCCTAGGACGGTACCTGGAATATAATAGGCACCCACTTAATATCTGTTAAACTTATAAATTAACAAATAAATCAGTTTTTCTGATTTCTAGGTCTTGATTCTTTCCATTGAAACACACTATTTCATGCCTTAAAGCACTGTGTTCTTGCTTATTTCCCAAGGCATGTGTTAAAACTGCCAAAAGAGAAGATATTGTTGTATTGTATGCCACAACTTTGGCACCCACGTAACCAGTGTAGTTTGTAAGACTGGATTTTATGTTGGTACATTATTTATGACCATGACTCCAGCTGATTCTTCTCTTTACAGCTGGCACCCAGCTAGAGAGAACTCCAAGCCCTTGAGCCTCATTCAGGGATAAAGTCCTTTACCTTCTTTTCTTGATGTCACTGTTGCCTGACATGTCCCTTCTTTCTTATTTCTTGTGTTACTTTTCATTTTGGATCTTGCATTCACCCCCTTGGATCTTCAATTATTTCTGCAGCTTTGAAACTAACACAGCAGTACTGAAATTGCTCTGTAGTCTGTCCAGTCTTTTGGGGCTGCCCTCAGTAACATTTCTTGATAAGTTCACCAAAGGTTATAATCCTCCTCAGTGTTGGCTGCCATGGCCGGCATCTAGCCATACTGTCTTCATCCAGTTCCCAAGGGGAGAAATTGAATAGGCATTCAACAAATGTTTGTTCATTTGAACTCATTCATAATAGTAGTGGCTATGAAATGAGGATCACTGCCTGGCTCACAACAATCCCATCAGTGAACATGCTTGTGCTACCCTCCTTTTATGCAGGAATTCTCCTCTGCCCCCAAATACATCGTTTACATGGAATCTACTATTTTCTTAAATAACATACATTCCTAGTCATAGCTTGTGATCAAGAGAGTGAGAAATTAGCCAAATATAAACAAAGTATATGGCCTAAATTTAACTCAAATTCTCTCACCAGGAGTAGCCTTGAAAGACATGAAAGACAACCGCCTCTGGGCTGTCTTTCATGGAGGAGGCCTGGAGAGTGCAAGTGCAAAAACTGCAGTAGTCTTGGTGCCGATCGTAACATCAGGAGAGGTATTTTTCACTCTTATCATGGGAAGAAGGTATGTGTGTGCTAGGTAGTCAAGGGGTAAGATACATTTTTCAGAAATTGACATGGCTGTCTGGCTTCCATTGATTCTTTTAATTGTGACATTTTTCTGCTATCACCCGTTAAAAAAAAATGGCTTGCACCCCTAGTACTATCTAAGGTTGCAATGAGTGTTTCCATGTCATTACATTGACCTTACTAAGTTGGTCACAATAGTCAGGTATCAGTTTGGGGAGAGAGCACATGTCCCAAGCTAGTCTAATCAGAGTTTGCTCTCCTGATATTTTTCAAATTCCTCTGAAGGGCATAGCTTTAGCTTCACCAAGAAGGAAGTCAACACTCAGAAGCCGAGGTGAGGGATGGAGAAAAATAGAATGAGATAGAAAGACAAAAAGAGAGAGACAGAGAGAGAGGGTCCTGAAAGTGGTCAAGTCCCTGTTTCTGGATCCAGAGTGTTATGGTTACTGCCTTCTGGAAGTTTGGTTGGTTGTTCATCCTTTCCTTCATTTTTATAAACACATGTCAGCCTTCCAAAACATACTCCATTTATGTAGGCTACTTTATATTAGATTTTATTTACCTTGCAATCATAATTGTCCAGACCAATATACTGTACCAGTTTGCAGTCCATCCTTTGGTTATGAAATAAAAATAAAAAATAAAAAAAATTGTAGAGCAATATAAAATTGAATATTTTTGAGTGCATCATAGGAAGTAAGGGGAAGTATTGGTTTGATACTTTTGTTTCATTTGTGAGTTTGTGGTGTGTGTGTGTGTGTGTGTGCATGTGCATACACTGGGTCATTAGAGGGTAATGTTAAAAAAATTTGAAAGCTATGCACTGAAGGTTCTTAATCTCTAACTCAGTGGGGCCACTTGAAGAGTGTAGAAAATCAGTCTACGTGATTTCAGTTTTATTGAACACCACAGGCATGTGGGAGGTGAACAAAAGCATGAGAAAGGCTGATTCATTCAAGAAACTTCTTTGTACTTGGAGTGAAATATTCTCCTCAAAGTGACACTCTATGAAATAATTTATGTTTATGAATTTGGTAAACACTGTAAATGACAAGGCCAGAAAGAAATTCCTTTCAATAGCTGCAGCCTCGTAAGCTGTGGAAGAGTCCAGTTATCCAGGCGATTGGCTTTGTGTGAAATCTTCATGTCATGCAAAATCTGAGAAAGAATCAGAGTAAGTTAATAGAATCAAGACAGTAAGGATTGCACAATCACAGCAGGTTGATGGGTGTGCACTAAGACTCATTTAGAAAAATAAACCAAAATATGAGGATGACTCAGCTATGAGTGGACACCGAAGCAGATTTCCTTCAGTACTGCTGGAATGACGCGAGCCTCCTATTTATGGAATTCAGCTCCATGAGGGAAGGATTCAATCTCTAAAGGGAACCCATTGTGAGAGAACAGCTTTATTACTGAAGTGGATAACTTCAGGAGAGTGACTGTTGCAGCTGCTCTATGGTTAAGGGATAGAAAATGAACCTGTATCACGTAGAGGCTAGAGTAGGTATGTAGGGAGCAGTGTCTTACGTGAAGGGGGAGGTAATACCTGGCACTGATCAAATTATCCGGAAGAAAACTATGATCTTAATAACAGAAACTAAAACTATGGGAGAGTTTTAGATGTGCTTGAGAGTGAGGACCAACTCCTGGTTGAGATGAGCAGCGCTGTCCAGTAGGGTTTTCTGTGATAGATTCTGTGCGGCCTCATGCAGTAGCCACTATGCATATTTTACCACTAATTACTTGCGATAAGTCTTGTGCATCTGAGAGTTGAATTTTAAATTCTATTTAATTTGAATTTATTTAAATTCAAGTTGAAATAACCACATGTGGCTAGTGTCTTCCATGGTGCAGAGTGGAGCCCAGCTTATGAGAGTGTTTAGGTGTTTAGGAAACAAGATGGGAGACAGGTAGAATGGGCATGATGGAGAGCTTTGAAAACAAGCCAACTGTGATAGAAAGCAAAATTTGTCAGTTGGTCAAACACTGCTTATTTCCTGCAAACTCCTAATCCTTGAATTCTCCCCTATATTGGTGAAGTCCTTTAGAAAAGCCCACTCTACTTGATTTGTGCTCCAGAGCTTCACAAGGAGTGTGTCCACAGGATGACTTGGGTGTTCATAGGAGAGCAGTGCATATTTGGTCTCTAGAAATTATTGTTGCAGGGGAATCAAAATAAAAGAGCATGCTCCAAACGTATGTGACATTTTTAGCATCACTGAAACTGTTAGTCGAATTATTAATTTTGCTGTATAGTCAGATGAAGCAAACAAACACACAACTTTGTTGAATTTTATATTTACAGAGATAAGCTGAGCTAAAAGGGTGTGTCTAAATAGATACAGACTCATGTTATGTCATATTCATGTAATGTTGGACTTGTTAACTGATTCCAAACAAGTTTTGTATATCCCCTACAATACATAGTGCCATTATCTTCACGAAATTCATCAAGCCAGAAACTCAAAAACAGCTTTTTTAGGTTTTGAAATAATTTTCTACAGTATTGCACGTTTACTTGTCGATTATAAAAACATCCTAAGATACAGGTAAGCAAAAGAAGAAAAAAAATCACTATTCATCCTGCCACCAAAACTATAGTTAAATTTTGTTATATATGCCTCCAGAGGTTTTTTGGTTCCCTATGATGTATAAGGTCCTATCAACATGCATGTACTCATATACATATTGAATTGCAATCACACAGCATAATGTTGCAGTTTGTAATGTTATGTTTTCCTATTTTCATGTAAATATATGTATGTGTGTATATAAATCGGTTTTGTTTAAAAATATATACAGTTGCATACATTTGGTTATTTTAATAACTGCATAGTATTTTATTTTGTGCATGAACCAGAATTAATTTAGCCATTCCCGTGTTGTACATGTAGTTTTTTTCTTTCCGTCGTCCTGAACAGAACTCTGTTAAATATTATCTTATCTACTTATTTCCATATTTGTGCAAGTATTTCTTTTTTTCTTTCCTTTCATTGATGCATATTAGCTCTACATATTTTCAGGGTACATGTGGTATTTTCATAATTCAAATAATTAAATCAGGATAATTAGGCTATGCATCATCTTAAATATTTTTCTTTTCTTTATGCCAGGAATATTTGAATTTTTATCTTCTGGCTAGTTTGAAATGTACACTCACTTAATGTTAAGTACAGTCACCTTACTAATCTATTGAACACCATGTCTTATTTCTTCCATCAAGTGTATACTTGTACCCATTAATCAACGTCTCTTCATCCTCCTCACTCCCTACCATTTCTGATAAACCTCAATCTACACTCCATTAGGTCCACCTTTTTAGCTCCAACTATAAGTGACAACATGCATGCAGTATTTATCCGTCTGTGCCTAGCATATTTCACTAAGCATATTGACCTCCAGTTCCATACATGTTGCTGCTAATGACAAGATTTTATTTTTCATGGATATTCCATTGTGTATACATACCACATTTTCTTTATTCATTCATCCATTAGTAGACACTAGACTGATTCCACATTTTGGCTTTTGTGAATAGTACTGCAATAAACATGGGGATGTGGATATGTCTTCAATATATTAATTTCCTATCTTTTGGACACATATCCAGTAGTAGAATGGCTGGATCATATGGTAGTTCCATTTTTAGTTTTTTGAGGACTCTCCACACTGTTTCCATAGTGGCTGTACTAGTTTACATTCCCAGAAACAGTGTAAAGGAGTTCCTCTTTCTTCACATCCTCAACAGCATGTTAGTCTCTGTCTTTTTGATAAAAATCATTCTAACTGGGAGGAGATGATGCCTCATTGTAGTTTTGATTTTAATTTCTCTAATGATTGGTGACATTAAGAGTTTTTTCATATACCTGTTGGTTGTTTGTATGTGTTCTTTTGAGAAATGTATATTCAGATATTTTGCCTGTTTTTAATCAGAATATTAGTTTTATTACGATTGAGTTCTTTGAGTTACTTATATATTCTGAATATTAATCCCTTGTTAGATGAATACTTATCAAATATTTTCTACCTTTTCTCTGGATTGTCTCTTCACTTTGTTTTTTATTTATTTATTTATTTATTTTTATTATACTTTAAGTTTTAGGGTACATGTGCGCAACGTGCAGGTTAGTTACATATGTATACATGTGCCATGTTGGTGTGCTGCACCCATTAACTCGTCATTTAACATTAGGTATATCTCCTATTGCTATCCCTCCCCCCTCCCCCCACCCCACAACAGGCCCTGGTGTGTGATGTTCTCCTTCCTGTGTCCATGTGTTCTCATTGTTCAATTCCCACCTATGAGTGAGAACATGCGGTGTTTGGTTTTTTGTCCTTGCGATAGTTTGCTGAGAATGATGGTTTCCAGCTTCATCCATGTCCCTACAAAGGACATGAAATCATCATTTTTTATGGCTGCATAGTATTCCATGGTGTATATGTGCCACATTTTCTTAATCCAGTCTATCATTGATGGACATTTGGGTTGGTTCCAAGTCTTTGCTATTGGTTGCTTCACTTTGTTAATTGTTTCCTTTTCTGTGCAGAAACTGTTTAGCTGGATGTAACCTCATTTGTCTGTTTTTGATTTTGTTGTCTTTACCTTTGGAGTCGTACACAAAATATCTTTGCCAAGAACAATGTCCTGGAGCTTTTCCCCAATGTTTTCTTTTAGCAGTTTCATAGTTTCCGGTCTTAGATTTTAGTACTCAATTCATTTGGACTTGATTTTTAATTTTTGATTATTGTGGGTACATGGTAGATGTATATATTTATGGGGTACATGAGATGTTTTGATACAGGCACACAATGTGAAATAAATATCATGAAGATCACGGTATCACTCTCCTCAAGCATTTATCCTTAGACTGTTTATTGAATGTTTTTCTTTATTTTTTTTTATGTAGGCACTTAAAGATATAAATGTCTCTCTTAGTACTGCTTTTGATGTATCTCACAGGTCCTGATATGTTGTGTTTCCAATATCATTTGTTTCAAGAAATGTTTCAGTTTCTTCTTAATTTCATTATGGATTCACTGATCATTCAGGAGCATATTATTTAATTTCTATGTATTTTTATACTTTCCCAAATTCTTCTGGTTAGTAATTTTCAGTTTTATTCCATTGTGGTCAGAAAAGATGCTTGACATGATTTCTTTTGTTTAATGTTTTTAACACTTGTTTTGTGACCTAACATATGGTGCATCCTTGAGAATGATCCATGCGCTGGGAAAAAGGATGTGAATTCTGTGGCCATTAGATAAAATGTTCTGTAAATACCTATTATAACCATTCGGTCTATAGTGCAGATTAAGTCTGATGTTTCCTTTTTGATTTTCTGTTTGAAGTATCTGTCCAGTCCTGAAAGTAGGATACTAATATTTCTAGCTATTATTGTATTGGGAGTCTATTTCTTAATCTAGCTTTAATAATTTTGCTTTATATATCTGGTTGTTCTAGTGTTGGATGCATACATATTTTATACACACTTGTTAAACTGACCCCTTTATCATCATATAGTGACCTTCTTTGTCTGTTCTTATACATTTGGTCTTGAAATCTATGTTATCTGATTTAAATATAGTGACTCCTCCTCTTTTTTGGTTTCCATTGTCATGTAATATCTTTTTCCATTCCTTTTTCAGTCTATGTGTGTCTTTACAGGTGAAGTGTGTTTCTTGTAGGGAAGAGATCAATGGGTCTTGTTTTATTATCCTTTCAGCCAATTTATGTCTTTTGATTAGAGAGTTTGCTAAATTTACATTCAATGTTATTATTGATAAGTAAAGACTTACTCCTGCCATTTTGTTACTTGTTTTCTGATTGTTTCGTGGTCTTCTGTTCCTTCTTTCTTTCCTTCCTATCTTCCTTTAGTGCAGGTGATTTTCTCTGGTGATATTATTTAGTCTCTTGCTTTTTATTTTTTGTGTATCCATTGTAAGTTTTTTTGGTTTGAAATTTTCATGAGGCTTGCAGATACTATCATGTAACCCGTTATTTTAACCAGATAACAACTTAACACTTTGCATAAACAAATAAGCAAAAATAAAATTAATAAAAACTGCATGCATTAACTTCATCCTCCCATTTTTTGACTTTCTGTTGTTTTTATTCCTGTCTTATTGTATTGACTAGGTCTTGAAAAGTTGTTGTAGTTACTCTTTTTGATTGGTTCATCCAAAGCCCTGATGTAGTAACTAGATATCACAGCGGGTTATTCATGGCCCAAAGGCTTTTCAGTTAGCAAGTGATGAATACTGCCAGGACTTGGCCCTTTATTTCAAGGCTGCCAGTTTCCTTCTGCCCCAGGGTGTATCTAGACATATTATCTGGGGGATAGGACCTGGAATGGGGGCCTTATGACTCTGACTGCTGCCTTATCCTGCTGTGACTGAACTGGTATCCAAGATGCAAGACAATGTCTTTCCCACTCTTTGATCTCTTCTCCTCAAGCAGAAGAGATCTCTTTTGGAGCCATGAGCTGTGCAGCCTGGGGTTAGGGGAGGAGTGATGCCAGCACTCCCTTCACTGCCCCCAGCTGGTGTCTCAGTAGGTCACATGAACCCTCCCCCAGTCTACTGTCTCTGGGCCTAGTTCAGAACTAGAATTTACCTAAGAGTTATAGTCCTTACGGCCTACACTGCCTTTCAAGTTTACTTGGAGACACAGAGCACTGTAGCCCTCCCTGGTGAGGCTTGTGGGAACTTAAGTTCTGACCACTGGGATCTGCGATTCCCCTCTGGCTAGGGCTGGTTGAAATACTGCATTCTTGGGTGGGCATCAGCTGAATTTGGTCTGCTTTTCCTTTCTGTTCTAACATGACAGCACTGAGTTAAATGCCTTATAAATGCCGTGTTCTCCCTCCCCCAGTGCCCAGAGATGCTCTCTGCTCCTCACTGCTGTTTCTTGGGGGTAGTGGAATGACAGCCTCAGTGATTCAGGATTGTTTTTTTTCTATCTCTACAGTGCCTCTTTCAAAGATAGGTGGTTAAAACTAAGTACTATGAGTGCTCCCCTGATTTTGGGTTCTTATAAAGATTTTCTTCTGTGTTGATAGTTGTTAAATTGGTGTCCTTAATGGGGGGTGGGGGAGGATTGGTGGAACCTTCTATTCCACCATCTTGCTTTGTCTTCTTTTACTTGATTTTTGCATATAGTGAGAGATAGGAATGTAGTTTCATTATTTGTGTGGCTATTGTGAATGCTATTGTTTCTGATTTGGCTCTCAGCTTAGATGTTGTTAGTGTATAGGAATGCTGCTGATGTTTGTACATTGATTTTGTATCCTGAAACATTGCTGAAGCTGTTTATCAGATCAAGGAGCTTTTGGCCAGAGACTTTGAGGCTTGCAAGTTATAGAACTGTATCATCTGCAAACAAGCATGGTTTGACTTCTCTTTTCCTGTTTGGATTCCTTTTCTTTCTTTCTTGCTCTTGTTTGATTGCTCTGACCAGGACTTGGTGTATTATGCTCTATAGGAGTAGTGAAAGAGGACATGCTTATGTTGTTCTGGGTTGCAAGGGTAATGATTCTAGTTTTTCCCAGTCAGTATGATGTTGGCTGTGAAGTTGTCATAGATGACTCTTATCGTTTTAAGGTACGTTTTTCAGTAAGTATTTTTTAAGGGTTTTTACCATAAAAAGATGTCAAATTTTATTAGAAGTCTTTTCTGCATCTATTGAGACATTCATGTGGTTTTTGTTTTTAATTTTGCTAATATGTATAATCACATTTATTGATTCATGTATGTTGAAACAACCTTGCATCTCAGGGATAAGCTTACTTGACCATAATGGATTACCTTTCTGATGTGTTGCTAGATTAAGTTTGCTAGTGTTCTGTTGAAGACTTTTTGCATCTATTTTCATCAATGTTATCGGCCTGAGGTTTTCTTGTGTGTGGTATTTCTGCCAGGTTTTGGTACCTGAGTAACGCTGGCCTCATAGAATGAATTGAGAAGGAGTTCCTTGTCCCCAATTTTTTTACAATGGTTTCTGCATGACTGGTATGAGCTGTTTATACATCTGGTAGAATTCAGCTGTGAATTTTTCTGGTCCTGGTATTTTTTTTTTTTGTTTTTGGTTGAGGTAGGCTTTCTATTAATTTTCAATTTTGGAACTCATTATTATTATGTTCAGGAATTTTGTTTCTTCCTGGTTCCATCTTGGTAGGTTGTATGTGTCCAGAAATTTAGCCATTTCTTTCAGATTTTCTAGTTTTTGTTCATAGAGGTGTTTGTATTAGCCTCTAAGGGATTTTTATATTACTGCGGGGTCAGGGGTAACATTCCTTTTGTCATTTCTGGTTGTGTTTATTTGGATCTTCTCTTTTCTCCATATTATTCTAGCTAGTGGTGTATCTATCGTATTAATTTTTTCAAATCACAGTCTCTTGGATTACTTGATCTTGTGTATTGTTTTTCATATGTTAGTTTCCTTCAGGTCAGCACTGATTTTGATTATTTCTTGTCTTCTGCTACATTTGAGGTTGCTTTGCTCTTGTTTTTCTAGGTGTGATGGTAGATTGTCAACTTTCGATCTTTAGGCTGTTAACTTTTTGATGTGGTTGTTAGGAAAGTTAGTTTGTAAATTTTTTGATGTGGGTGTTTAGTGCTTTAAACTTGCCTCTTAACACTTCTTTGGCTGTGTCCCAGAGAGTCTAGTATGTTGTATTCTTATTATCATTAGTTCAAAGAATTCTTGATTTCTGCCTTAATTGCATTATTTACCCAAAGTCATTCAGGAGCAGATTGTTTAATTACCATGTAATTGTATGGTTTTGAGAAACTTGCTTATTAATTCTATTTTTATTACACTGTAGTCCAATAGTATGATTAGCATTATATTTTCTTTCAATTTGCTTAGAATTGTTTTAAGGGCGATTATGTTGTTGATTTTAGTGTATGTGCCACTTGCAGATGAGAAGAATGGATATTCTGTTGTTTTTGGGTGGATAGTTCTGTGGATGTCTATTAGTTCTATTTGATCAAGTGTTAAGTTCAGGTCCAAAATATATTTATTAATTTTCTTCCTTGATGATCTGTCTGATACTGTCAGTGGGGTGTTGAAATCTCCCACTGTTATTGTGTGGAAATCTAAGTCTCTTTATGTGTCTCTAAGAACTTGCTTTATGTATTTGGGTGCTCCTATGTTCAGTGTGTATATATTTAGAATAGTGAGGTCTTATTTAATTGAACCCTTTACCAATATATAATCACCTTCTTCGTCTTTTTTAATCTTCATTGATTCAAAGTCTTTTTTATCTGAAATTAGAATAGCAACCTCTGATTTTTTCTGTTTTCCATATCCTTGGAAGATTTTTCTCCATCCCTTTATTTTGAGCCTGTGGGTGTCATTGTGTGTGAAATGGATCCCTTTAAGACAGCATAACATTGGGTGTTGCTTCTTTATCCAGCTTGCCACTCTGTGCCTTTTAGTTTGGGCAGTTAGCCCATTTACACTCAAGGTTAATATACATATGTGCAGATTTGATCCTGTCTTGTTGTTAGCTGGTTATTATGCAGACTTGTTTGTGTGGTTGCTTTAAAATATCATGTGTCTTTGTACTTAAGTGTGTTTTTCTAGTGGCTTATAATGGTGTTTCCTTTCTATATTTAGTGCTTCCTTCAGGAACTCTTCTAAGGCAGGTCTGGTGGTAACCAATTCCCTAAACATTTGCTTGTCTAAAAAGGACCTTGTTTCTCCTTCACTTCTGAAACTTAGTTTGGCTTCATATGAAATTATTGGCTAGAAATTCTTTTCTTTTAGAATGGTGAATACAGGCCCCCAATATTTTCTGGCTTATAGGGTTTCTGCTAACAGGCCTGCTGTTAGCTTGATGTGGTTACCTTTGTAGGTGACCGGCCCCTTCTGTATAGCTGCCATATGTATATACTTATACGTGTGTGTGTGTGTGTGTGTGTGTGTGTGTATATATATATATGTATATATAATTTTGACCTTAGAAAAACTGATGATTACGTGTCTTAGGGATTGTCTTCCTGTGTAGTATCCTGCAGGAGTTCTCTGAATTTTCTGAATTTCAATGTTGGCCTCTCTAGCATGATTGGTGGCGTTTTCATGTATGATATCTTAAAATATGTTTTCCAAGTTGCCTTTCTCCCCATCTATTTCAGGGACACCAATGAGTCATAGATTTGATCTATATTACCTAATCCCATATTTCTTGGGGGATTTGTTCAAATTTTTAATTCATTGTTCGTTATTTTTGTCTGACTGAGCTAGTTCAGAGAACCAATCTGCTAGCTCTCAGATTCTTACCTCAGGTTGGTCTATTCTACCATTAATACTTGTAAGTATATTATGAAACTCTTGTAGTGTGTTTCTCAGCTGTATCAGATTAGTTTGGTTCTCTCTTATAACAGCTATTATATCTATCAGTTTCTGTATCTTTTTATTGTAATCCAATGTTTCCTTGAATTGGGTTTCAACTTTATGTTGAGTCTCTATGATCTTTGCTCCTATCAATATTTTTTGAATTTTATTTCTATGATTCCAGGTATTTAGCCCAGTTAAGTACTCTTGCTGGGGAACTAGTGTGGTCATTTGGAGATAGGAAGACACTTGGGCTTTTTGGGTTGCCAGAGTTCTTGCACTGGTTCTTTCTTATCTATGTAGTCTGATATTTCTTTAACTGTGGCATAATTTGAGTACATTACACTTCTTTTCTGGATGTTTTTAGAGGGCTGAGGCTTTGCGCAGGGTCTGTATTTGTAGCTGGATTCTTGCCCTTGGTTTCACACTGGGGTATATTTAAAAAGTATTTTTGTTGTTCAAGTTTGGGCTGTGATCCAGTAGATGGCACTTAAGCATAATGGTCAGTATGTAGGCTCTTCCTCAACCATGTGGCTCCTCCGTATTTCCTCATGATTGCAGCAGTGCTTCCTCTCAGTGCTCTGAAAGTGTGGATTCTTCCCCCAGTTGAGCTCTGGCTGTAAATCTCAGTGCAAACATCCTCTCCCACTTACAGTGCTGGCTGTGTTGTTTGGCCCAGGAGCTTGGCAGTCCTGGGCTGCACACCACAGCTCTGGGTCATGCTCAGGCTTTCTGTATCCCTCCCCATCTTGGAGGCAGCAGAGAAAGGGACCTTGGTAGTAGTTGTGGCATAGGGCCTTTCCCTTTTCTCTTGGGGCTCTACTACCAGTGAGTCCAATAGGCCCAGTGCGGGGACAGCTGCATGTGGGGTGGCAACATGGTGATGAGCAGGTGCAGGTCACAGGGGAGACAGACTGGCCTCTTTTCCTTAGGACAACCGCAGTTTGCTAGAGATATGATTAAAGCACTCAGGGTATTTTCTCCTTCCCCAGTCCAAGGGCAGCAAGGGTAGCACCAATGCACTTACAGTGGCAGAGGGGCTTTTGGTTGACTCTGGAAGCTTCACTGCATGGAAGCGTGATGCCACTGCTACTGAGAATGTACAGCCAGGGGTTGGGGTGGATCCTCTGCTGGCCTAAGCTGTGGGCTCTACTTGGTGAAGAGCAGAGGGTTGAGGACTCACAGAGAGAAGAGACTGGGCTCCTCTTCATATAGTGACTCTGGCATGCTAGAAGTGAAAGTCAAGCTCTCAGGCTCTTTGTTTCTTCCCCAGACTGAGGGCAGCAGGGGCAGGACTGCTGGGTGAGATGGATCTCTTTAAGACAACATAATATTGGGTGTTGTTTCCTTATCCAGCTTGCAACTCTGTGCCTTTTAATTTGAGCAGTTAGCCCATTTACAGTCAAGATTAATATAAATATGTACAGATTTGATCCTGTCTTCTTGTTGTTAGCTGGTTATTATGCAGACTTGTTTGTGTGGTTGCTTTAAAGTGTCATGTGTCTTTGTACTTAAGTGTGTTTTTTTAGTGGCTTATAATGGTGTTTCCTTTCTATATTTAATGCTTCCTTCAGGAACTCTCCTAAGGCAGGTCTGGTGGTAACCAATTCCCTAAACATTTGCTTGCTAAAAAGGATCTTATTTCTCTTTCACTTATGAAACATAGCAGCAAAAAATGGCAGCCGGCCTCTTTTGGGAGCTCCTTCCCTGGAAGTTGAGAGTGGCTACTGACCTGAGAGCCCAGGTTGGGGGTGGCTGGAGTCCCAGGTTGAGAGGACCTGTCCAGAGAGGAGAAACAGAAATGGGGCCCCACATGAGAAACGGTCTGGACACTTTCTCGTGGGATGGTTGTTCAGTGCTGCAGATCCACATGAGTCCCTAAGCACTTTGCACCCTACAGAGCCTGAGAGCAATAGCAACGAGGGCTGTGGGGCAGCAAAAGTGGTAACCCGCTCTCTCTGGAAGTTCCATCCCAGGAAAGTACAGAGATGCTACCAGCCCAAGAACCCAGGTGGGGCTGGTGTGGACACTCTAGGGTCCCAGGCCAGTTGGGTGTTATTCTGTGAGGTACAGTGGAGGCAAGGCCTGCATTATGTCTCTGCTCAGCGCTGTACATTCATCTTCTTTCATGTGGGCATGGAGGGGAACTTGACCTCCCCCATTGATGGTGCTGCAGCCACTAGTGCCAGGATGCTCAGGGATCCATGGCTCCCAGGGCTCTTCATGTACCTGAGTGTTGGCTCTGCCCAGACTCCATGTAGCTTTCCATATCAGTCTAGAGGTCCCAGTGAGGGGGCTCATGAAAGAATCCCCGGAGCCCAAAGTTGTAAAAGCTCATGGCAGATGTGTGGATCCCTGGGGACTCTCACTCAATCATCATTTCTACAGAGTGGGGGTAGGTTCTCATGGGTCCATGCCACTCCCAGGTTGGTAGCTGTCCTGTCTCACTCCTCTCCATTCTCTATGGGTTGAGTTGCTTCCTTGAAAAATCTCAATGTGTCCACCTGGATGTTTCATTTGAAGAGTATTTATTTATTTATTAACTTTTAAGTTCTGGGGCACATGTGCATAATGTGCAGGTTTGTTACGTAGGTAAAAGTGAGCCATGGTAGTTTGCTGCGCAGATCAGCCCATTACCTAGGTATTAAAACCAGCATTCATTAGCCATACTTCCTGATGCTCTCCCTCCACCCACACCATGACAGGACCCAGTGTGTGTTGTTTTCCACCATGTTCCTGTGTTAGTTTGCCAAGGATAATGGCTTCCAGCTCCATCCATGTCCCTGCAAAGGACATGTTCTTGTTCCTTTTTATGGCTGCATAATATTCCATGGTGTATGTGTACCACATTTTCTTCATACAGTCTATCAATGATGGGCATTTAGGTTGATTCCAAGTCTTTGCTACTGTGAACAGTGCTTCAATGAACAGAACGCATGTATGTATCTTTATAATAGAATGTCTTATATCCCTTTGGGTATATACTTGGTAATGAGATTGCTGGGTCAAATGAAATTTCTGCCTCTAGATCTTTGAGGAATCACCACACTGTCTTCCACAATGGTTGAACTTATTTACAAACACAAACAGTGTAAAGCATTCCTTTTTCTCTGCAACCTCATCAGCATCTGTCGTTTCTTGACTTTTTAATAATTGCCATTCTGGCTGGTGTTAGCTGGAATCTCAATGTGATTTTGATTTGCATTTCTCAAATGATCAGTGATGTTGAGCTTTCTAAAAAATGTTTATTGGCTGCATGAAAGTCGACTTTCAAAAAATATCTGTTCATATCCTTTGCCCACTTTTTAATTTTTTTTTGTAAATATGTTTAAGTTCCTTGTAGACTCTGGATATTAGACCTTTGTGAAATGGACAGATTGAAAAAATTTTCTCCCTTTTTGTAGGTTATCTCTTGACTCTGATGATAATTTATTTTACTGAGCAGAAGAAGACCTATTATTTTTCAATACTCATTCTTCTGTCCATGAGAGTGGCACACACTAGCTGCTTCTAGTCAGCTACCTTGGCCCTCTGTGTTGATGAACTGTATGTTGGTTTTGAATCCTGCAAATTTACTGCATTCATTTATTAGCTCTAATAGCTTTGTGGTGGAGCGTTTAGGTTTTTCTAAATATGAGATCATGTTGTCTGCATACGAGGCTAACTTGACTTCTCCCCTTCCCATTTGTATGCCTTGTATTTCCTTTTCTTGCCTAATTACTCTGGCCAGGACTTCCAGTATTATGTTGAATAAATGTTGTGAAAGTAGACATCCCTGTCATGCTTCAGATTATGCAGGAAAGGCTTTCATTTCTTCTCTTTTCAGTATAATGTTGGCTGTGGGTCTGTCATATATGGCCTCTATTTTGTTGTATTTTCCTTCTATACCCAGTTTGATTAGGGTTTTTAACATCTGTTAAAATGATTATATGGTTTTTGCTCTTATTTTTCTTAATGTGATGTCTCATGTTTTTTGAATTGCATATCTTGAACCATGCTTGTATACTGGGATAAATTCCACTTGACCTTGATGAATGAACGTTTAAGAATTGTTGTTGAATCATCTTTGCTAGTATTTTCCTGAGGATTTTTGCATCTGTCTTCATCAGGGATATCGGCCAGTATTCTTTTTTTGTTGTGTCATTGCCTAGTTTTGGTATCAGTATAATGCTGGTAGCATAGAATGAGTTTGGAGGAATTCCCATCTCAATATTTTTGAGGAGTTTAAGTAGAATTGGTATTAGTTATTGTTTAAATATTTAATATTATTGAGCAGCAAAACCATTGGGTCTCAGGCTTTTCTTCAATGAGACACTTTTTGTTATGTCTTTGATCTCATTACCTGTTATTAATTTGTTGAGGTTTCCTATTTCTTCATGGTTCAATCTTGGTATTTTGTATGTGTCCAGGAATTTACCCAATTTTTTTCAGGTTTTCTGATATGTTGGCATATAGTTGTTTGTAGTAGTCTATAACAATTCTTTGTATTTCTGTGGTCACTGTTGTTAAGTCTCCTTTTTCATTTCTGGTTTTATTTATTTGGGTCTTCTTTCTTCTTTGTCTAGGTAAAGGTTTGTCCATTTTGTTCACCTTTTCAAGAATCAACTTTTCGTTTCATTTTCCTGTATTTTTTAATTCTCAATTTTTAAAATTTCTGCTCTACTCCAATCTTTATTATTTCTTTCTTTCTATTAATTGTGTTTGGTTTTATTTCACAATTTGTTGAAACCTGTTTTGTGTCTTAAAGTATGGTCTATTCTGGAGAATATTTTATCTTCTACTAAAAGAATGTGTATTTTGCGGTGGTTGGGTAACATGTTCTAAAAATGTTAGTTAAAGCTATTTGTTGTAGCGTGCAGTTTAACTCTGATGTTTCTTTGTTGATTTTCTGTCTAGATGATCTGTCTATTACTGAGATTGGAGCATTGAAATCTACTATTATATTATTGTCATCTATGTCTTTCTTTGGATCTATTAATGTTTGTTTTATATACTTAGGTGCTCCAGTGTTGGGTGAATATTTATAATTTGTATATCCTCTTGCTGAATTGATCCTTTTATCATATAGTAATGGTTTCTGTCTTTTTTGTTTTTACAGGCTTTGACTAGTATTCTCTTTTATCAGATATAACTCTTTTTGCTCTTTTCTGGCTTCCACTTGCATGAACTATATTTTTCCTTCACTTTCAGTCTATGCATATATTTGTAGTTGAGGTGGGTACCTTGTAGGTGGCATATAGTTGGGTCATGTTTCTTTATCCATTTGGCCACTCTCAGTCAGAGAATGGAGCCTATTTACATTCAGTGTTAATATTGATTTTTAAAAAGGGCTTACTACTGGTATTTTGTTGCTTGTTTTCTGTTTGTTTTGAAACTTCTCTCTTCTTTCTTTCTTGCTGTCATTCTTTATGATGAAGTGATTTTCCTTGGTGACATGTCTTAATTCATTGCTTTTCATTTTTAGTGTATTTATTATAGGTTTTGAATTGTGATTACCATGAAGCTTGATGAAAACATCTTATTCAAATGACAAGTTAATTTAAAGAGATGACACCTTATTTTAGATCAGAAAAAAGAAAACAAAAGAGAAAGAACTAAAAATATTTCTACATTTTAACTCCATCCACGCCGGCATTGTGACTTTTGGTTGTCTTAATTTACATATTTTTATATTGCCTATCTCTTAATAGGCTAGTGTAACTATTATTGTTTTCAATATGTTTATCTTTTTGGCTTAATACCAGAGTTGTAAGTGGATTGCACACTACAATTACAGTATTAGAATATTCTGGGACTGTCTTTGTATGTAATTTTACCTGTGGGTTTTATACCTTCAAATGTTTTCTTTTTGTACATTAGTGTTTTTTTTTCCTTTCAGATTGTGGAACTCCCTTTAGAATTTCTTGGAAGATGGCTCTAGTGGTGATAAAGTCTGTTAGTTTTTATTTGTCTAGAAAAAAATTTATTTCTCCTTCATATTTGTGGGATAGCTTTGCTGGATAAATTATTCTTGAATGTCAGTTTTTTTTTTGTTTAGCAATTTGAAAGTGTCATTTTTCTCCATCCATAGCCAACATGGTTTCCATTGAGAAGTCTGTTGCCAGATGAATAGGAGCTCCTTTATTTGTTAATCACTTATTTTCTCTTTATGCTTGTAGGATGCTCTCTTTTGGTCTTTGACATCTGAGAGTGTGGTGATTATATGCCTTCAGGTAGTCTTATTCTGGTTGAATCTGTTTGGTGGTCTCTGATATTTCTGTACCTAGATATTTATATCTTTCTCTAGTTTTGAAATGTTTTCTGCAATTATTTCATCGAATAAGCTTTCTACCACTTGCTCTTGCTCAACTCCCTCTTGAACATCAATAATTCTTAGGTTTGGCCTTTTGAGGTAACTTTCTATATCTTGTACGCAACCTTCTTTCCTTTTCATTTTTTTTTCCTCTGACTATGTTATTTCAAATAGTTCACTAGTTGTTACCTCTGTTTCATCCTGTCTGTTTTTGAGAGAATCCAATGAATTTTTTAGGTCAGCAAATATAATTCTTAGTTCCAAGATTTCTGTCTGATTTTTAAAAACTATTTCAAACTCTTTGTTAAATTTCTTTGATAAATTTCTGAATTGTGTTTCTGTGTGATGTTGGAGATCACTAAGTTTCTTTAAAACTGCTATTTTGAATTATTGGTCACAGAGCTCAGGTACCATGCCTCATTTGGGTAATTCATTGGTTCCTTGCTTTGTCTATTTGGCGACATCATGGTTCTCTGCTGTTTTTCTTGTGGATGTACATCTATATCTTTGCATTGAAGGATTAGTTATACATTCCAGTCTTCTCAGACTTACTTTTTGAGGGCTTATTGGATATATCTGCTTATCCCAGGTTTGTCTCAGCTCTGGTAAATGATCAGAGTGCTGCCCATCCTAAATGGGGGAGGTCCCAAAGGAAATGTCCTGGCAGTGTGGGAAGGCTGGCTAGGGGTTCACTCCCAGGAGACCTGTGGAACACATCTCCTATAGCATGCTGCTGCTGAACAGCCACTTTGATTTGGTGTCTCCTTTGCCTGAGTTACAGAACAGTGTTCATAGGGTTGGGGATAATAGTCCTGACTCTCCATTTGTTTCTGCCTTTCTTCAGGGATATTACTCCTTTCAGTCACTCTTGATGCCTCGCATGGATGAAAGCAAGGACAGGTCCCCTTCCGGGGAACCCAGAATGGTAGAGAAGCTGGTTGTCCACTTCAACCTCATTTTTCTAGCATAGAAAGTTTGAGTTGGGGGAAAATTTTCCGCATGCTTGGTGCCAGGCAGAATGAGGGGAGGGGCATCATGAATGTGGAAGTCTGATTCTCTTGGCAACGTCTCTGAGTTTTTTTTCATTTCTCTGTGGCCCTAGAAACTATCTCTTCCTGACGTTTGAGTTCTGAGATACTGCTGGCAATAACCTCAGTTCTGTATATTTGGTTTTGGTTTTCTGCTGATGGTGGGGAGTGAAGCCAGCTTGTTACTATGCAGCCATTTTGGAACTAGTAGTCCAGAACAAGTGTTTCTTTAAGGTAATCTTTTGACTGGATATAGACATTTGAGTGGTTATGCATTAAAATATGATAGTCTATGTCTTTAACGTTAGTAATGATAATAGCTGAGATTATTGAGTGTTTAGTATGTGCTAAATATTTTAAAAATTACTTTCCCCGGATTAATTCACTTAATTCTAATAAGTGCTACTATTTCCCCCATTTTACAGATAGTAAAAGGGAGGCAGAGAAAGGTTCATTAACTTGCCCGAGGTCATTTAGCTAGTAAGGAAAAACCAGGAATTAAATTCAAGAAGTCTGACTCTAGTCTTTGCCCTTCATCAAAATCTCTATGGTGCTCCTACTCTATGAGTTTTGCTTTGCATGTTTAGATTTGAAATCCCTTTTACTATTACTTCTCATATACAGGGATGGCTCCTGGGTGTTTGCTGCTCTAGTCACATTAAAAAATATCCTGCCGCTCGTGTATCACAGTGTTTCCAACTGACAGGAAATTCCGGTTTGGGGTACTCCCAATCTCGGAGATAGGAAAATAATAAACACTTAACAAGAAAAACAACAAGAAGAATTATCACATTCATTCAGTTTCTGTATTCTGGTAAGCAGTTACAGTAGTCAGTATTTTCCTTATACTTCTGTGGTAGTGTTTGTTTAACTGTATCTTGTGCTGTGATTTTACATACCACATTGGTTTTATTCTCACTGGATTGCATAGGAGGAGGGGTGATGATCTGTATCATGTTAATTTCTGCTGTGTAGGGCCTACCATGATGTGCTTTAATTCCCAAAGTGATGTAAACACACAATCTTATGAGCTTACTTTGCCATAAAGTACTGTCCATGAATCCTGTAGCTTCAGCAGATAAAGAAGGAACCTTGAAATCCCTTTGCTAAATGACCATTGATTCATAAGATAGTTTGTCCCTGAGCTCGGTCAGGTCCCAACGCTCGTGACTCTTTGATATGGCTCTCAGAAGCAAACGAAATATGTGCATTTAAGGGCTCTTTTTTTTTAAAAAAAATCTTATATGAGGACTAGGTTATTTTTTTCAGTTTATATTACTATCTTACACACTTCCTAATAGCTAAAAATCAAGAATAAGCTAAACGTTATACATGACTCCACTGAATCGGAGAAGATAAGATTTTACCAGTAATGTAAATGCAGAAAGTCATTTTAGTATTTAATATATTACGAAGAGAATTCAGAAAAATGAGTGCCCTGGAGAGATGACATGAACATGTCTATTTTCAATCCTATTCCTTCTATCTCTGCTCATTTTAAATAACAATTGAATTAAACATTAAGGTATTTTAGACAATCAATTGGATTTGCCTTTTCACGTGGAAGTGCAGGCATATCTGCTGAGAAATTTCAGATGTGACAATGCAATCAGAAAAACATAACCAAATGCAATTTATATCAGTGCTCGCAGAAAATTTATTGTGATATTTTTTATATCAGTTTTCTCTTCATTCGTCTAGCCAGGCGTATAAAAATGTTACTTTCTAATTCATGATCTATAGACACAATAGATTATATAAAATTCATCATACATTAAAGATTTTAGAATCTTTGAGGGAAAGCATGTTCTATATAGTGATCCATCTTAAATAAAAATATCCATATAAAGAGAATTAATGTCCCTTTTGCTTTCACTAGGCCAGAATCAGCATGCTCTACACTATACTATGTTAGCATCAAGTGCTCCTGCATACCAATATGGTGGCCAGCCACCACTGACAGCAGTAGCCATTGTGTGGGCTAAGCTGCAGCTGAAACTCACATTTGTATATATGAAGCAACCCCTCCCCTCTTTATGTGTACATATGACATTTTTAAATGTATGGCCAAAGCAGCCACTGTGGGGAATTGTCACCTCTGCTTATGAAAGGTCCTCAAAGGCAGAAAACAGCCTTGCAAGAGATTATAGGAATCATGTTAATATGAAGGATCTGTTTTCATCAAGATATGCCCTGCTAAAATGCATTCTTTTTTTTAATAACATGAGTTTTTTGTGTGGCAAAACGTCATTGCATCATGGAGAAATGGGGCATAAAAGAACCACATGTAGTCCTTAAATCCAAAAGGTGCTGGAGAATGAAAAATAAGCCATGATAAAATAGGCATAAACATGAAACAGGAACAATAATTTCTAGTGCTCTATTACATAGTAGGTGACTATGGCAAATAACAATGTCACGTAGATTTCAAGATAGCTAGAAGAGAAGAATTTGAACAATCTTACCACAAAGAAATGATAAATGCTTACAGTGATTGATATATTAATTACCCCATTTCATTACTATACTATGTATACATGCATCAAAACATCACACTGTACCCTACAAATATGTACATTATTATATGTCCTTTATAAATGAAAAATTAAATTAGAAAAATAAATTAATAAAGCACTTGGAAAAAAGAAGATAAGAAAGGATCTGGTCTTATCTCCAGGAGGGAATGCTACGTTTTTCTTTTTTTCCTTTTTAGTAACAACTTTATAGAAACATAACTCACAAAACATAGAGTTCATTCATGTAATGTGTACAAATCACAAATGGCCAGAGGTATATTAAAAAAAAAAATGCTCGGCCGGGCGCGGTCGGTCACGCCTGTAATCCCAGCACTTAAGAAGGCCGAGGTGGGCGGATCACGCGGTCAGGAGATCAAGACCATCCTGGCTCACACGGTGAAACCCCATCTCTACAAAAAATACAAAAAATTAGCTGGGCATGGTGGTGGGTGCCTGTAGTCCCACCTACTCCGGAGGCTGTGGCAGGAGAATGGTGTGAACCCGGGAGAAGGAGCTTGCAGTGAGCCGAGATGCGCCACTGCACTGTAGCCTGGGCAACAGAGTGAGACTCCATCTCAAAAAAAAAAAAAAAAAGCTCAAATTCACTGAATCACCCCATACCTATTACAATGGCTATTATCAAAAAGATAAAAGATTAAATATGTCAGTTAAGATGTGCATAAAAGGGAACCCTTGCACACTGTTGGTGGAAATGTAAATTAGTACAGCTATTGTGGAAAATAGTACCAAATTTCCACAAAATATTAAAATAGCACTATCACATTATCCAACAATTCCACTACTGGATGTATAACCTAAAGAAATAAAGTCTTTTGTTGCCTGTGTTTTTGATGTTGTATTCATAAAAACTTTGCCTAGACCAATGTCTTGAAGCATTTCCCCATGTTGTCTTCCAGTAGTTTCATAATTTCAGGTCTTACCTTTACATCTTTATTCCATTTTGAGTTTATTTTTATATATGGTAAGAGACAGAGGTCTAGCTTCATTCTTCTGTGTATGGATATCCAGTTTTTCCAGTACCATTTATTGAAGAGATTGTCCTTTACCTAACGAATGTTCTTGGTGCCATTGTCTGAAATCTGATAGCTGTAAATATGTAGATTTGTTTCTGGGTTCGATACTCTGTTCCATAGGTTTATGTAACTGTTTTTTAATACAAGTAGTATGCTATTTGGGGTACTATAGCTTTGTAGTAGATTTTGAAGTTAAATAGTGGTTTATGTGTCCAGTTTTGTTCTTTTTGCTCAAGACCGTTTTGGCTATTCAGGGTCATTCATGGTCCCATACAAATTTTAGGACTTTATTTTCTATTTCTGTGAAGAATGCCATTGGTATTTTGATAAAGATTGCTTTGAATCCATAGATCATTTTGGGTGATATGCTTATTCTAGCAATATGAATTCTTCCAATCTATGAACATGGGATGTCCTTCTATATTTTTGCATCCTTTTCATTTTTGTAATCAGTATTTTATAGTTTTCTTATACAGATCTTTCATCTCTTTGGTTAAATTTATTTCTAGGTAATTTTTTGTAGCTATTGTAAATGGGATTGCTTTCTTGATTTCTTTTTCAAATTGTTCACTGTTGGTATAAATTTTGTTTCTTTTTTCTTTTTTTTTTTCTTCAATTTTTATTTTAAGTTCCAGGGTACATGTGAAGGATATGCAGGTTTGTTACATAGGTAAAAGTGTGCCGTGGTGGTTTGTTGTACAGATCAACCATCACCTAGGTATTAAGCCTAGCATCCATTAGCTATTTTTCCTGATGCTCTCCCTCCCCCTGCATTCCCCCAACAGACCCCAGTGTGTGTTCCCCACCATGTGTTCTTATCATTCAGCTCCCACTTATAAGTTAAGAACATGCGATGTCTGGTTTTCTGTTCCTGCATTAGTCTCCTGAGGATAACAGCTTCCAGGTCCATTCATGTCCCTGAAAAAGGCATGTTCTCATTTGTTTTTATGGCTACATAGTATTGCATGGTGTATATGTACTACATTTTCTTTATACAGTCTATTATTGATGGACATTTGGGTTGATTCCATGTCTTTGTTATTGTGAATAGTGCTTCAGTGAACAGAACACATACGTGATCTTTAAAATAGAATGCTTTGTGTTCCTTTGGGTATATACCCAATAATGAGATTGCTGGATCAAATGGTATTTCTGCTTCTAGATCTTTGAGGAATCTCCACACTGTCTTTCACAATGGTTCAACTAATTTACACTCTCACAAAAGTGTAAAAGTGTTCCTTTTTCTCCGCAACCTCGCCAGCATCTGTTGTTTCTTGACTTTTTAATAATTGCGGTTCTGACTGGTGTTAGAGGGTATCTCAGTGTGGTTTTGATTTGCATTTTTCTAATGATCAGTTATGTTGAGTTATTTTCATATGTCTGTTGGCCACATGAATGTCTTCTTTTGAGAAGTGTCTGTTCATGTCCTTTGCCCACTTTTAATGGAGTTGTTTGTTTTTTTCTTGTAAATTTGTTTAAGTTCCTTATAGACTCTGGATATTAGACTTTTGTCAGATGGATAGATGGCAAAAATTTTCTCCCATTCTGTAGTTTGTCTATTCACTTAGATGATAGTTTTTCTTGCTGTGCAGAAACTATTTAGTTTAATTAGATCCCATTAGTCAATTTTTGCTTTTGTTGCAATTGCTTTTGGCATTTTTGTCATGAAATCATTGCCCATGCCTATGTCCTAAATGGTATTGCCTAGATTTTCTTCTACGGTTTTTTTTTTTTCCAGAGTTTGGAGTTTTATGTTTAAGTCTTTAATCCATTTTCAGTTACTTTTTGTATAAGGCGTAAGGAAGGGGTCCAGTTTTAGTTTTCAGTTTTTAATAAATATTTTGTATTTTTCTGTCTGCATTTCATTTATTTCTACTCTGATCTTTATATTTTCTTTCCCTTTTTAAATTTTGGGTTTGGTTTATTCTTGCTTTTCTGTTTTTTTTGGGGGGTGTATCATTACTTTTTAAATTTGAAATCTTTATTTTTTTATATAGGTGTTTATTGCTGTATACATTCCTCTTAATATTGCTTTTCTTTAGTTTAATTAGATCCCATTTGTCCATTTTTGCTTTTGTTGCCATTGCTTTTGGTATTTTAGTCATGAAGTCTTTGCCCATGCCTATGTCCTGAATGGTATTGCCTAGGTTTTCTTCTAGGGTTTTTACGGTTTTAGGCCTTACGTTTAAGTCTTAACATTAAGCCTCACGTTGAATCAGTGTACTGATTTTTGTACAATGATTTTGAGTCTTGAACCTTTGCTGAAGTTATCATATCTAGAAGCCTTTGGGAAGAGACTATGGGGTTTTTCAGATATAAAATGATACCATTGTGAGGAGAGATAGTATGACTTCTTCTCTTCCTATTGGGATGCCTTTTATTTTTTTCTCCTGCCTGATTGCATTGGTGATGAATTCCAGTACTAAGTTGAATAGGAGTGGTGATAGTGGGTATCCTTGTCCTGTTCTGGGTTTCAAGGGGAATGCTTCTAGCTTTTGCCAAATCAGTATGATGTTGACTGTGGGTGTCATTGATGGCTCTTACCATTTTATCTACTTGATCATGGTGGATTAGCTTTTGGATCTGCTGTTGAATTTTGCTTGCTAGTATTTTGTTGAGGATTTTTGAATTTATGTTCATCAGGAATATTGGCCTAAAGTTTTTCGTTTTGTGGTGTCTCTCTCAGGTATTAGTATCAGGATGATGCTGGCCTCATAGAATGAGTTAGGGAGGAGTCCCATCCTCCTTAATTTTTTTTTTTGCAATAGTTTTAGTAGGATTGGTACCAGCTCTTTTTATACATCTGCTACATTTTGGCTGTGAATCCACCTGGTCCAGGGCTTTTTCTGGTTGGTGGGCTTTTTATTACTTAATTTTAGATCTCATTATTCTTCCATTCAGGGTTTCCATTTCTTCCTTTTGCAGTCTTTGAGGGGGCGGTGTATGTTTCCAGGTATTTATCCATGTCTTCCAAGTTTTCTACTTTTTGTGCATAGAGTGTTTGTAATAGTATCTGAAGGATTTTTATATTTCTGTGCAACTGGTGGTAATGTCCCCTCTGTCATTTCTAAGTGTGTTTATTTGTTTCTTTTCTCTTCTTTTGGTCTAGCTAGCAGTATATCCATCTTATTTATTCTTTCAAATAACTGACTTTTGGTTTTGTTGATCTTTTGTATGATTTCTCATGTCTCAATTTTGTTTTGTCTAGCTCTGATTTTGGCTCTTTTCTTCTGTTAGTTTTGAGGTTGTTTTACCCTTGTTTTTCTAGTTCCTCTAGGTGTGATATTAGGTTGTTAATTTGAGATCTTTCTAACTTCCTGATGTGTGCCTTTAGCACTACATACTTTTGTCTTAACACTGCTTTAGTTGTGTCCCAGAGATTCTGGTATATTGTATCATTGTTTTCATTAGTTTCAAAGAATTTCTTGATTTCTACCTCTATTTAATTGTCTACCCAAAAGTCATTCAGGAGCAGGTTTTTAAATTTCCATAAAATTGTGTGGTTTTGAGAACTCTCCTTAGTATTGACTTCCGTATTTATTGAACTGTGGTCCAGGAATGTAGTTGGTATGATTTCAGTTTCTTTTAATTTGCTAAGAATTGTTTTATGTCCAGCTGTAAAATGTAGGACCCTGCAAGGTATGTGAGTGGTGATTGACTTTTAGGTATAGTCGTGGAAAAGCTTGATCAAAACATGGAGGCATCACTGTGACAAAGACAGAGGTTGCAAGTTTTGTTTTGTTTTCACAGCAGTAACAGTAGAAGTCAGATATTCTAGCTGAATTTTCTGAAATTATATGGTTTAAAAATGAATTATTAGGGAAGAACTTGGTCAAAATGATGAATCATTTGAGAAGATGAATTATTTAAATGATTAATTGTCCACTGGCAGTGGCTCATGTCTGTAATCCCAGCATTTTGGGAGGCCAAGCTGGGCAGATCACCTGAGGTCGGGAGTTAGAGACTAGCCTGACCAATGTGGCAAAACCCTATCTTTACTAAAAATACAAAAATTAGCTGGGTGTGGTGGTGCACGTCTGTAATCCCAGCTACTCAGGAGGCTGAGGTGGGAGGATCACTTGAGCCCAAGAGGTGGAGGTTGCAGTGAGCCGAGATCATGCCACTGCACACCAGCCTGGGTGACAGAGCAAGATCCTGTCTCGAAAACAAACAAAAAATGGACAAAGGACTTAAATGGACATTTTTTCAAGGAAGGTATACAAATGGCCAATAGGTACATGAAAAGATGTAAACAAAAGATGAATTGATTTAAAATAATTTTTTTAGTCAGTAATATGGCAGAACAGAATAATGGCTCTGAAGCTCTCATATCACTGTTCTAGGAGGTAGAAAAAAATGTAATGAAAAAAACACAAGGACCAATTCTAGATCTAACAATCTGTAAATGCATTTTTAAATTTTTTGAGCATTATTAAAGTCTCCACCTACTGTGTACATGTATTAGATAGGAAATATTTCTTTTTTTGGCTTGGGGCTTATTTAATTTTATTCTTCTGTACTTAATACATCATATATACACTTTGCAAAATTGTTTTGTACTAAATGGGTGGGTTTTGCCACAGCTTTAAAGAAACCATTAGTGATAGCAGATGTGAATTCTACAGACCCTTGTTGTGGTTACTCTTAGTTTTGAACAAGGCTTAAGAGGTATGTTGTCAGCCACAAAAATCATAGCACTTGAGTTTAACTGTGCGCTTTCATGTGTAACACCTGTTCCCAGTATCCTCCTGACTAAACAGAATATTGTTAACGGTACATTGGCATGATTATCAGGAGTCTAGAGTTCTTTTCATCATTGCATTCAATTATGATCCAGAAAAATAAAATTTAAACTAATTTTCATCATTTTATTTTGATATATTCTAATTTGCAATTTTTTTGTATGTGAGTACCAGAGTATTGAAGAGGTTTCTGGGCTTTAAAATGTCAGTATCTCTCTCTCTCCATGTAGGTGGGTATAAAAGCTAAGCCTTTTTTTATATTTCAGTTTGTACATTACCTTTGGAGCACTATGTTGGGTATTTATGTCACCTGGTTAGCATATGCATTCTGTGCTTTGCTTTGCTAGAGAATCAGAGTCCATGCTGTCAGGAACCTAAACACCCAGTGGAAGAGAGAAATGTAGAAAAGAAGCAGGTATTTTATACATCTTGAATGCAAAAATTAAGCTTAAAAAGTAATAATGATATTAGGAACCATTTATTGAATACTACCTATGTGCCAAATATTGTTTTAAAACTTTACTCGTATTTCGTTCCTCAGTCAACCATATAGGGTGGCAACTCTCATTATCCCAATTTTGTAGTCAAGAAAATTGAGGCTTACAGGAGTTAAGAAACTTGCCAAATTAAAAATATAAAGTTTATATATATACGCATATATATATACATATATATATGCGTATATATATATATTACATGTACATAGCAGACCTAATATTTGAACCCGACTTTTGTGTAAATCTGAAACCTGACTGAATTGATGTATCAATGTGCCATGGGAAAAGAATTACATAATACAAATATAAATGGGAGAGACTAACTTTGCTTGGGGGCATTGTAGAAAAAGAGAGTAGAGAAGACCTCTGAGCTTGTCTTAAAGGATAAGTTTAGGTTACTGGGCAGAAAACAACATTGGATCTGTGGTTGCTTCAGGCCATCACAGATGAATGGGCTCTGCAGCACTTGACATTGCTATTAGGGGCAGCTGGGAGCACTGCTGTAAGCCACAGCGTTTGTATGGGTAAAAGCCCAGGAGTCAGATGGCCATGGCACATCAGAGAGTTGCAAGTGGTCAGGATGTGCATGAACTCAGAAGGCAGGGAGAGAAGAGGCTGGAAAAAGTATGTTAGGCTAACTAAGCTCCTGAAGAAAAGAGATTGAATGAGAGAAGGCCAGAGGCCAATATACTCTGGGACTTGAGAGCCCCAGGCAGGGACTGGAGGATGATGGAAAGAGTGGGGACTGATGGAAGATTGGTGTTTGGTTGAGAGCAGTGTTGTGTCAGGCTGTGAAGGACTTGCAGTTCAGATGTTTTTCACTAAAGCATCACTGTTAGGTCCCTGCCCCTCGACTCCTCTCTACTGTGTACTGGGATACAGCTTTAAGTATACAGATTCTCTTTGTCTCAGAATGAGTATTTCAACACACTAAGGGTTCTAATCCTCATTTCTGCCACTTAGTGCCAGGCAATATATTAGTTTTCTAGGATTGCCATACAAGGTACCACGGACTGGGTGGCTTAAACAACAAAAATTTATTTTCTCATAGTTCTGGCAGCCAAAAGTTCAAAACCAAGATGTCAGTGGGGTCGGTCTTTCTGAGGGCTGGGAGGGGAGTTCCTGTTCCAGTCCTCTCTCCTTGGCATGTAGATGGCTGTCTTCTCCCCGTGTCTTCATGTCTGTATTCAAATTCAAGCTTTTCCGTGTTTCATTAGAGCCTACTCTAGTGACCTCATTTTAACTAAATTACCTCGGTGATTACCCTATCTCCAAATAGGGTCACATTTTGGTACTAGGGGTAGGACTAAAACATGAATAATAGGGGGTGGAGGGGGACACAATTCAACCCACAACAGATAATTTTACCTGTAATGCACACTGGCAGTATCCTAGTCAGCTTCCCTTAACAGGACAGCTTCCCTGTCCCTGAGCCTTGTGAGAGCTGGGATAAATGACTTACACATTCAAACTTCTCATGAGAATCCTCTTGGCTGATAAAGTATATCTGACCAAGAGATGCCTGGGAGGTTAACCTTCCACCTCTGAGGGTGGCAAGTTAACCAAGAGTTAGGGTGAATGGGCTACAAAAGCCTTGTGGGCCTCTTGTCACGAGGCAAAATAACTCTTTAGTTTGACTTATGCTGCAGAGCCTATGCTGTCCCCAGTGCCACATGGATCAAACCAAAGCTGAACTTTACCTGAGACCACATACTTCCTCTGCTCTTTCCCATCATCCCTCTCATACAGGTTTTGCCACCTGAATCCCTGTTTCAAGCACTGCTTCCAAAAAAACCAACCACAGATACTGTCTAATCTTTCTGTGTGTTCTTTTCCTTATTTGGCACATAGAAAAAAAGCCAATAAATGCTGGTTATCATTCCTATTATTAATGTGACATTTATTTTGGTACTTAATTTATACCAAACCTTCACATACTGCTGGTATATTGCTATGGATCATAGTGATGAGAAAGATTGACTCTATCTCATTTTGATGGCCCAGAGATTCTCTGTGGGAAGTCTGAGTCAATTATAGGGACATCAGGCTTTGAGAGAATCCTAAAATACCTAGCTATAAGTGTGTACCCTATAGAAAGATATTTACATGTATATTTAAAACTGAACATTGGGATTTCAGAACTAAGCAAGGTCTATGGCAATAGTCTTAGAAAAAATGATAGTCTTTGAAAAAACGTGGCCAGGCGTGGTGGCTCATGCCTGTAATCCTAGCACTTTGGGAGGCCGAGGCGGGCGGAACACAAGGTCAGGAGTTCAAGGCAGCCTGGCCAACGTAGTGGAACCCCGTCTCTACTAAAAATACAAAAAATTAGCCGGGTGTGGTGGCAGGTGCCTATAATCCTAGCTACTCGGGGGGCTGAGGCAGGAGAATTGCTTGAACATGGGTGGCGGAGGTTGCAGTGACCACTGCACACCAGCCTGGGCGACAGTACGAGACTCTGTCTCAAAACAAAAGCAAAAACAAAACAAGCAAACAAAAAAACGTGCAACCTTTGGGGAAGCACTCAATTAGTGGGAAGAGATATTGCAGTGAGCTGGAAATGCTGTAGTAGTAGGTTGGATGAGTCAACAAAGTGTGGGTTATAACAGACCTCGTTTCAAATATTATCAAATGTGACCTTAGGGATACACCAGTTATGCAAATAAAATTTATAAATACATTAAACAAGTCATTTGTCACAAATGAGTAGGAGTTTCACCAAGAATACTGGCATAATATAGTTCTGAGAAATCTACAATGCGATAGCGTCACTATTTATATTTCTAATCTCCAATAACTGAGAAAGAAGATGAATCTATTTCTGAGGGAGAGAAAAAAAGAGGTTTAAATAATTCCCTGAGCTTATACTAAGTCTACTAGAGTTAACTATTTTGCCATTCAAAATGGCTAATTTTAGATGCCTTGAGCTCCTGGCTACATAGTAAAAAATTCGGACGCCACCACTGGGTTCTCACCATCTACATTTAATGTTAAAAAGATTTCACTGTTGGTATTTTACAGAGAATACATGGCATAGATATTATATTTTCATGCTGATAATAAAATGCAATACTGCCACCAAAAAACTCTTCTTATAAACAGACAGACACACACACACACACACACACACGTTAACTAGTTAAGATAAATTTAAATACACGCAACACAAAACTGAGAAATATTTGAATGTGAGACATAATCTTCTGAAAATCAAATGTATGGTTTTATAACACATTCTGATAGATTGAGAATGGAATAAACAAGATATTATTTTAACTGGGACTGTAAAATCCCTGAAAATTCAAAGTAAAAATCTGTCATTAATATATTATGTTTGCCTCAGCACTAAAGGACATACGTTTCCTCTGAATCAGGCAGTTTCATGATGTTCCTAGGCCTTGACAAAAAGACACTAGCTTTCCCTATATTGTTCCCTTACAGGGAAACACGTGAAGGTTCTTCAAAGATAATTGTGATATTTACTGTTGTCATTTATGTTACTACATTTAGATAACTTGATAAGCTTTCCTGACTCTTACAGTGGAGGAAAAAAGGAAACCAATGTTTTTGTTAGCAGGTCAGGCCCTTATTGAATTGTTTTGTCCAGAAGTTGTTTCTAAGTTTACAAAGTCGACTACGCAATGTCATGTGAAGGTATATTTTTAAATAGAACAAAGAATAAGTTTCTGTAAGTAAATCTAAGTAATATTTAAGGATACATTTCAAAATTAAAATTAATCTTGTGTGTATTGTCATCGCAGTGTACCTGAAAAATATAAATAAACTTGGGATTTATTATTTTAAGAAGTCAATATGTAAAGAGATGTTCTAAATAGTTAAAATTATGTTTGCGTCAGACGACAAGTAACTTATCTTTTCCAGGATTGTTCTCTTGAAGGAACTGGTTGTATAATTTAAAAATATATTTATTAAAAATATGCGGTTCTTATGCAGTTTACACAGTGCATAATTATAAGTATCCTTTAGTTAAGATTGACATTTGAAGGCGTTACGATGCAGCCCCAGAGGTTTGAAGGGTGTGAGGTATATAAATTGCTATATGAACAACAGCATAAGAAATACTTTATATACATTACCTCAAATTATCAAAATCACTTTTCAAAGTGGGTCATATGCTATTTTACGGGAAGGGAAAAATCTTACAAAGGTTTTTTGGGTGGTACATAGAATTATTTAACTTCCCTTCCCTAAGGTTGACAAATTCAGGGCCATGGACTGTCAAAAAGTCAATATATATACTTCAGGGTTCTCAAAATCTCCCTCAAATTTATGTTTACAATTTTGTTTGTATAGAAATGTGAATTTTTTTAAAGGGAGAACCATAACTTTTATAAGATTCTCCAGGAGTTCAGTGACCCAGAATAGTTCCCCTATGCAAACTTTAAAATTTCAGATACAAATTCCATAAGAGCAAGAGTCGTGGCACTTCTTCGACTATTTCTATTCTGTGTTGGCACACAAAACAATGACATACTTATTACAACAATTATGCAGATATTTGTAATCGTATTTTCAATACTAGAAATAATTTTTATGACAGGAGATAAGTAAAAATGAATATAAGCCAAATATTTATGATACATCTCCATTTTGTGGATTCAGAATTCATCTCATGTAGTTGATGAGATGGCTGAAATATCTTAACTAAACAGAAGGTGGTTCAATTGTTTTGGTAAAAACTGAGTCATGTAGTAGCAGCAGGATATCACGTCTTAGGATATTTCAGACATCAAATTCATTGTATTCCAAATGGAAGATATCACCTGAACTCACTTCTAAACCGACTCTCTTCAAAACCTCCATATTTTTGAAATAGAATCACTATTCTCCGTTTCTCTACACCTTGAAGGGCACTTCAGGTATAAAATGAAGCATGTACAAAGGCATCAAAAGGTGGAAAATGTAATACAATTTGGATGCAGTGCCTGGTATATAATAGGCATTCGGTTGATACTTGTTGAATAGATAAATGCTCCTATGGATGAATACATAAATATCAAGTGGTACTGAGTGATCAGAGAACAATAACGCTAGAAAGAAGGCAGGTTCCAGATCTTATTGAAGTGAGAAGGTGAGATTTGGGCCTGGCCAAATGGGTTGATGTTAATTTATCCACTGAACTAGAAAAACTAGGAAACAGATCAAGTATGGTAGAGGAAGCTAATGAATTCAGTTTGTAATATATTTACTTTGAAGTCTTGCAAGATGTACAAGTTGAAATTTCTAGTAATGATTTGGCAAATAGAATTTGGAGCTAAAGGTAAGTTATTGATGCCAGACCTGTAGATTTGAGAGACATCAGCTTATTATGGCCACTGACTCCATGAGAGAAAATAATCTGCCCCAAGAAAGGGTGTAGTGAGAACAAGATAAAACCCTGGAAAATGAATACTTTAAGGGCAGGCAAAAAGAGAACAATCCATGAAGGTATCACACTAGCTTACCCAGGGAAACAGAGGAGACGAATCTCAGGATCAAAGGGTCTCCAGGAGACTGAAAATGCATAAGTGAACTAATCTCAGGGACATGAAGTACATATCAGAGTGCAGAATGGCAGAGGTGTTGTATGTATAGAAAAGATATGTTCGTGTGGGTATAGAGATGAATGGGGGAGTATGAACTACAGAAATATGGGGAAGAGTATAAACAATTCAGAGGATAATGTCTTTAAAATAAATAAGGGAAGGGAGTTTAAGAAATGCAAAAACTTACAATTGAGTTAAGGAAAATAAACACACTTGAAAGAGTAAACCTCAGTTAAACTAGATTCTGTACTCAGAGCACAACAGTGAACGAGATAGACACAATCAATTGCCAGTGTAAACCTAGCTGTTTTACTGTAGGACTTCTGGAAGAAGAGATTCATTGTGATATAACGGATTTAAGTCAAAGACAGAACTGGGTTGTAAATGTGGCTGTGCTCCAAAGTGGTTCACCCATCTGAATGTCACTATTTCTATCATCAGGATTGAAAAAATAGTACTAACCTCAAGAGCTTGTTATGAAAATGGAAAAAAGTAGTGACTTTGAGGGTATCTGGCACACAGTAGGTACTCAGTAAATATTATTATTGTTGGCAGTGATCATCATAGAGTTGTTGGGAGTCATTGTTATCATTATCAGGGGAGGACTCAAGAAAAGGATGAACTGAAACAGGTCCTTGGGAAGAAATAATTGACAAGTGCAGATATTCCAAGGACAAATAATCAAAAGTTTGATGATTATTACTGAAGCACAAACAAAGTAAGATTTGTTGTTCAATTTATCGTGTATAGTCCTATGTTTTTAATACCATTCTCTGTTTCCAGTTAAGCTGCTGTCAGTAGTGTTTGGAAGAACTATGCACGTTCCCTCTAGATAGGCTTCCACCTGTGCATTTGCGTCTTCCCCGTATGTGACTGCCAGCTTTCCTGTTTGGCCTATCTTGAGAACATATGCAGCAGATAGAAAAGGTTGGTTATCCTCCTGTGTCTCCAGTTCTCAATCTTTCCTCATAGGATACCTTGCCACAAATGCAGCTAGGGAGCCAGATACCTGCTTCATGGTACTGGAAGATAATGAGAGTATTTGATGTTATAAAAACCTGATTTTTAAGGTAGAAATCTCAAAATATTTTTATTTGTGGTATTTTGTATAATGTTTTATTCCAATTTTTTATTCCCTAGCACAAGCTTTGCCCTTCTCCTTTGGCAATGCCATCCCAACCCTAAATTTTTCCGACATTTTATTTATTGCTGAAGTCACACAGTTTCCTAATTGCCAACTACAAGGCTGCCTTTCAGTGCTTACTCTGTATTCCTACAGCATTTGAAACTGTTAGATAAATCCACCTTCTTTGAATTGTCTCGTCTCATGGTTTTATGACATCTGTCTTTCTTGGTCTGTTATTTATATCCTGCCTATCATCATAAAAGGTTTGTATCGACTTAAAATATAGAGGCATAAGTAAAAGAAGGGGGAATAAAATAAAACTAAAAAAGAAATCTGAAATCATTAGGAAAGAGGGGGATGTATTTGGTCAATTATTCTGTTTTTGCACCAAATGAATTTTGGGCTTCATGGTAATCAGGAAGAAATGGTAAATTGGCTGAGAATATTCCTAACCCACATTTTTTAACCCACAGAAGATAACTGACAATGGCTGTCTCCTCTGCCAGCTTCTTTAAGATGTGGATACTACTCCAGGTTTGGTCTTCATCTGTAGACTCTTCTTCCTTGCTTAGTTCCATTATACTTACGTTTAAGGATAACTCTCCAAATTCTAAGTTCTACTTTTTCATGAACTCTATCTACACATTATTGCCTCTAACTAATATAACTTCGAGTCAACTTTTGACCTCCAAAAAACAAGAGAAAACTCATAAACAAAACAAACTGAAAACAGCTCAAACTTTCTAACTCCTACAGTTGTTTGCAACTTCTTAAGAGTTTCCAAGCTTCGAAAATAATCAGGAATTTTGTCTTATATTTTTCTTTGGCAAGCTTCGAAAATAATCAGGAATTTTGTCTTATAGTTTTCTTTGGCACCCTCATCCAATCAGTCAGGACGTCTTATTAATTCTTCCATTGCAACCTTGTTGTTCTTCTTCTCATCGATTAGCCTCAGATTCCTTTTATAATGTCCACACTGGTAAGCCTGATTCTTGCCTTTTCTTCCTACAAACAGAGTTCCAGTCATTTTTTCCTTAAATTTTCACTTTCCTCCTATTCATCTTTTTCTCCAAAGCCTTCAGTGGCTTTCAGTTATAGAAACAAAATTCACATTCCTTATTGTGACTTGCAAAGTTCTTCACAATCTTACCCTTAAGACCTATTTGTGATTTAGATTCCAGATATCTCCCAAAGAAAATCCCAGATCCAGCTAAACTTATACTTCCTATTTGCTCATATGTATATTCTTATATATCTCCGTACTTGAATATTACTTCCCCTTCTCTCCTCTAGCCACATAGTTCCATTAAGGGCTGATAAAAGTGTTCCTTCTGTGCTAGAATGGTTTATATTTTTGCAACTGACACTGAGACTTCAGTATTTGTTACATAACATTTCTATGCATACATATATTTATTCTCTCTTTAACCAGATCATCAGTTCCCTAGGGGAAAGGGCCATGTCTTATACACGTATGTATTCTCAACAGTACCTAGTATAGTACAGGTTTTGTAAATATGTGTTGATTTGATTTAGAGCTATTTATACAATTATTTCCCTACTCCATTATATCTATATGGAACTATTCACATATTATGGCAATAAGAGAAGTAAAAATGTTAAGGTAAAATATTACTATATTGCCAAATAAAAAGTCACACTGCTCCCTAACCTTTGTGTCAAAATAGATCTTGCTGGTTTCCTGTTGTAATACCCACAACAACATATGTTCCAAGCAGCAGTTGGAATCTATCAAGAAGACTGAAACTGACACAAATAGCTATTCCATAAGTATAAAATGCCATCACTGTCATTGGGCTAACACCAGGGAAGGTCGAATTGCAGAGTTAAAATGGGCCTCCCTTTCCAAGTTAAGCCTCAATGTGAACAGCCATGGGCCAAAAGAGCGGCAAGAGTCGTAAAAACTCTTACGACATGAGTAATTATTTGCTTATGGTGAGGTGTCTCCTGCAGGAAATAATAATAGTAATGTCTACCATTTATTGCATTTATACTGTATGCCAGGCACTGTACTAAGTGCTTTACATAAATTCCATCATTTAATCCTCTCTCTCACTTTATAAGTTAGATACCATTATTTTCCTTGTTTTACAAATGAGGAAATTGAGACATAATGAAGTAACTTGCCTAAAGTCACACAGCTAAGAAATGACTAAACTGGGACCTGAATTGGGGCAGTCCAACACATGAGTTTATACAACTTGCTCATCAGAACTAATTCTTTTCTCCTTAATCTCTTGCCTTATATTAACAGTATGACACACTCAATGATCTGGGTAGCAACTTATTTTAATTACTTACTTGCATACACAACCATGTTGTTTCAAGAGAGGAGATGGAAAAAGCAAATATTTCATTTTGAATTACTGGCGTTTTGTAAAGTTTTAGGAATTTTGATAAATTCCCATTCCCATCTTATTTTGCTGAAGAAATTAGCTGAAAGAAAGGGGCTACAGGCCAGACATAAGTCTGAAACCCAGCAGGGCAGTAATTAAACCTTAAACCTCCAAAATAATTCTTGGCTCCATGTTCTTCATCCAGGGCAGTGGTACAAAGTGTGTGTTTTCAGGGCCTTAGGCATCGCCACCCCTGTGGATTTGCAGGGTGCATCCCTCATGGCTGCTTTGATGGGCTGGAGTTGAGTGCCTACAGCTTTTCCAGACTGAGGGTGCATGCTGTCACTGACTCTACTATTTTTGGATCTGGAGGACAGTAACCCCTCTTCCACTGCTCCATTAGGCAGTGCCCCAGTGGTGACTCCGTGTGGGGGCCCCAAGCCCACATTTCCCCCTTGCGCTACCCTAGTACAGCCTCTCTGCAAGGGCTCTGCTAATGTAGCAGGCTTCTGCCTGAGCACCCAGGCTTTCCCATACATACTCTGAAATCCATGTGGAAGCTGCCAAACCTCCTTCACTCTTGCATTCTCTGCACCTACAGACTTACCACTATGTGGAAACTGACAAGGACGATGGGTTGCACCCTCCAAAACAGCAGCCTGATCTGTACCTGGGGCCCCTTGAGCCATAGCTAGAGCTGGGGCAGCAGGGATGCAGGGAGCAACCTCCAGAGGTGGCTCAGGACAGTGGCATCCTGGGGCCTCACCTTCAAAACCATTCTTTCCTACAAGGCCTCTGAACCTCTGATGGGAGGAGAAGCCTGAAAGATTTCTAAAATGTTTTTGAGGGCTTTTCCACTTTGTCTTAGATATTAGTACTTGGCTCCCATTTATTCATGTTAGTCTCTCTAATAAGTGGTTGCTACACAAGTCTCTAGAATTCCTTTCCTGAAAATGATGTTTCCTTCTCTACCTGTGGCCAGCATGCAAATTTTCTCAATTTTTACACTCTGATTCCTTTTTAAATATAAGTTCCAACTTGATATGGTTTGGATTTGTGTCCCTACCTAAATCTCAAGTCGAATTGTAATCCCCAGTGCTGGTGGAGTGGCTTGGTGGGAGGAGATTGGACCATGGGGGTGGATTTCCCCCCTGCTGTTCTCGTGATAGTGAGATCTCACAACATCTGGTTGTTTAAAAGTGTGTAACACCTCCTGCTTTGCTCTCTTCCTCCTTCTCTGATCATGTAAGACATGCCTGCTTCTTCTTCTGCCATGAGTGAGGGTTTCCTGAGGCCTCCCCAGCCATGCTTCCTGTACAGCCTGTGGAACCATGAGTCAATTAAACTTCTTATTTTTTTTTAAATAAATCACCCAGTCTCAGGTAGTTCTTCATAGCAGTGTGAGAACAGACTAATGTACAACTTTAAGTCGTTCCTTTGCTCCTGTATCTGATCATAGGTTGTTAAAAGCAGCCATTCCAACTCTTGAATGCTTCTCTGCTTATTAATTTTCCTCTGACTTAGTGAGACCCTAAGTGATCACTTTTAAGTTCAACCTTCTGCCAAGCCCTGGGACATGAGCACAATGCAGCAAAGTTCTTTGCTAAGCCGTAACAAAGATGACCTTTGCTCCAGTGCCCAATAAGATCATTTCCATATGAGACCTTGTCAGCCTGGCCTTTGTTGTCCATATTTCTATTGGCGCTGTGTTCATGAACACTTAACCAGTCTCTAAGAAGTTTCAAATTTCCCCTCATCATCCTGTCTTCCTCTGAGACCTCCAAACTCTTCCAACTTTTGCCATTACCCAGTCCCAAAGCTGTTTCCACATTTTTGGGTATTTTTATAGCAATGCCCCATTTCTTAGTACCAATTTTCTGTGTTAATCACTTTTGCATTGCTATAAAGAAAGACCTGAGGTTGGATAATTTATAATGAAAAGAGGTTTATTTGGCTCATGGATCTGCAGGCTGTACAGGAAGCATGGTGCTAGCACCTGCTTCTGGTGAGGGCCTCAGGAAGTTTACAATCATGGCAGAAGGTGAAGGGAAGCAGAATGTCACATGGCAAGAGAGGGGATAAGAGAGATGCCAAGCTCCTTTAAACAACTAGCTTTTGCATGAAATAATAGAGTGAGAACTTATTACCACAAGAAGGGTATCAAGCCATTCATGAAGGATCCCCACCCAAGTCCCAAACACTTCCCACTAGGCTCCACCTTCAACATTAGGGATCACATTTCAACATGAGATTTGGAGGGGACAAAAACTGTATCAATGGACTTTCTTATGTTGAGGCATGTTCCTTCTATGCCTAGTTTGTTTAGAGGTTTCTTCATGAAGGGATATTAAATTTCATTAAATTCTTTTTCTGCATCTATTTATATGATTTTATGGTTTGTCTTGTTCATTACATTGACATGCATCATATCATTACATTGATATGATCTATCACAATTATCAATTTCTGTGTGTTAAGCCATCCTTGCATTCCTAGAATGAATCCCACTTGATAATAGTGAATGATCTTTCTGATGTGCTGTTCAGTTGGGTTTTCTTTAGTATTTTGTTGATTATTTTTGCATCTATGTTCATCAAGGATATTAACCCTTAGTTTTATCTGTTGTTTCTTTGTCTGATTGTGGTATCAGGGTTCAGGTAGCCTCATAGACTGAATTAGGAAGAATTCATTGCTCTTCCTTTTTTGGAATAGTTTGAGGAAAACTGGTGTTAGCTCTTCTGTATGAGTTTGTTAGAATTTGGCAGTGAAGCCACACATTCCTAGGCTTTTCATTGTTGGGGGATGTTTTTGAATTCCTGATTCAGTCTCATTATTCATTACTGGTCTGTTCAGGTTTTCAGCTTTTTTTTTCTGGGTTCAATCTTGATTAGATTTTATGTGTTCAGTAATTTATTCATTTTATCTAGGTTTTCCAGTTTGTTAGTGTATAGCTGTTCATGATAGTCTCTGATGCTCTTTTGTGTTTCTGTGTGTGATGCTTAATATTAAGTGTCAACTTGATTGGATTGAAGGATGCAAAGTATTGTTTCTGGGTGTTGCCAGAAGAGATTAACATTTAAGTCAGTGGACTTGGAGAGGAAAACCCACTCTCATGAAGTCCCACCCACAATGTGGGTGGGCACCATTGCAATGCAGCTAGAAAAAGCAGGCAGAAGCAGGGTGGAAGAAGCTGACTTGCTGAGTCTTCCAGCCTTCATCTTTCTCCCGTGCTGGATGCATCCTGCCCTCAAACATCAGACTCCAAGTTTTTCGGCTTTCTGACTCTTGGACTTACAACTGTGGTTTGCCAGGGGCTCTCAGGCCTTCAGCCACAGACTGAAGGCTGCACTGTCAGCTTCCCTACTTTTGAGGTTTTGGGACTTGGGCTGAGCCACTACTGGCTTCCTATCTCTTCAACTTGCAGATGTTCTATCATGGGAGTTCACCTTGTGATCTTGTGAGTCAATTATCCTTAATAAACTCCCTTTCATATATGTATATATCCTATTAGTTCTGTCCCTCGAGAGAATCCTAATACACTATTATATTGCTTTTAATGCCTCCTTTTTAATATCTTATTTTGTTCATTTGAGTATTTGCTCTGTATTTGTTGGTTAGTCTAATGAATGTTTAATTGATTTTTCTATCATTTCAAAAAGTCATGTTTTTGTTTCATTGGACTTTTGTATTTTTTAGTCTCTATTTTTTTATTTCTGCTCTAATCATTATTATTCTTTCCTTCTACTAATTTTGACTTTGATTTGTTTTTGAAGGTGTTTTGTATTGCTTACAAACTTTGGTATTAACACTGCTTTTGCTATACTCCATAGGTTTTCATATCTTGTGTTTTCATTTTCATTTGTTTCAAGAAATTTTTTGATTTCCACTTTAATTTCTTTCTTGATCCAGTGGTCATTCAGGAGCATATTGTTTGATTTTTATGTATTTGTTTAGTTTCCGAAGTTCCTCTTGATATTGATTTTTAGTGTTGTTAATCCATTGTGACCTGAGAGGATATTTTATATAATTTTGAGTTTTTAAAATTTGTTGAAACTTGTTTTGTGGCTTAGTATATGATCTTTCCTGGAGAATATTCCATGTACTGTTAAGATAAAGATGTATTGTGTAGTTGTTGAATAAATTATTCTGCAAATGTCTATTACATTCATTTGATTTAAATTTCCATTTAAATGTAATGTTTCCTTGTCGAGTTTCTGTCTAGATAATTTCTCTAGTGCTGAGTGAGTTGCTGAAGTCCCCAACTGTTATTATAGTGGAGTCTATCTCTCCCTTTAGAACTACTGATCTGTGCTTTATATATCTGAGTGGTTCAATGTTGATTGCATATATATTTAGAATTGTTATATCCTCTTGCATAATTCATCTTTTTTATTATTATATAATGACCTTAATTTTTTTTTTTACCTTTTTGACTTAATGTCTATTTTATCTAATGTAAGTACAGCTGCCTTTGCTCCCTTTGGTTTCCACTTGCATGGAAAATATTTTTTCCCTTCCTTCACTTTGAAACTATATGTGTCTGTATTAGGCCATTCTTTTGTTGCTATAAAAACATACCTCAGACTGGATAATTTATAAGAAAAGAAGCTTAATTGAGTCATGGTTCTGCAGTCTGTACAGGAAGCATAGCACCAGCATCTGCTTCTGGTGAGGCCTCAGGCAGCTTACAATCATGGCAGAAGCTGAAGGGGCAGCATATGTCACATAGCAGGAGTGGGCACAAAAGGGTGCGTCGGGAGGTGCCATATACTTTTTCACAGTGAGAGAGATAGTGAGAACTCACTCACTATCACAAGGACAGCACCAAGCCATGACAAATCTTCCCTCATGATCCAAACACCTCCCACCAGTCCCCACCTTCAACATTAAGGATTACAATTCAACATGAGATTTAGAGGGGATAATATCCAAACTCTATCTGTGTCCTTACAGGTGAAGTGAATTTCTTGTAGGCAGGGTGTAGTTGGTCCATTTTTTATCCATTCAGCTATTCTATACCTTTGACGTGGAAAATTTAATCTGTTAACATTCAAGGTTATTACTGATTGGTGCAGACTTTTCCTTGTCATTTGTTAATTATTTTCTGTTTTTTAGGATATTCTTTGTTCCTTTCTTTCTCTCTGATTGTTTATTGTTGCAGTTCAGTGGTTTCTGCAGTGGTAGTGGTAACATTTGAGTCCTTCCTTTTCCTCATTTACATGCTTTAAATTTTTATAAGTTCTAAACTTTAACGTATTTTATGATAGCAGATATGATCCTTTCACTTCCAGGTATAGGATTCCTTTAAGTATTTCTTGTAGGGCAAGTTCAGTGGTGATTAATTTCCTCCATTTTTCTTGAATGGGAAAGATTTTATTTTTCTTTCATTTATAAAGGATAATTTTGCTGCATATAGTATTCTTGGCTAACAGGTTTTTTTTTTTTTTTTTTTTAACCACTTCGAATATATCATCTCATTCTGTCCTGGCCTTTAAGGTTTCTTTTGGGAAATCTGCATTAGTCTGATAGGGGTTCCCTTTTATGTGACTAGATGCTTTTGTCTTGCTATTTTTTAGAATTATCTCTTTGTCTTTGACTTTTCACAGTTTGACTGTAATATGCCATATAGGAGATATTCATGCAGAAGACATTTTGGAGTTGTCTATGTTTGCGGATCTCTGAGTTTCCAGCATTCCCATGTCTAAAACTCTTTATATAGTTGGCATGTTTTCAGCTATTAATTTGTTAAATAGGCTTTCAATGCCTCTGCCTTCTTTTCAGCTTCTACAACACCCAAAATTTGCACAACTTGTCATTTTATGGTGTCCTATATGCCACATAGGCTTTCTTCATTTTTTTATTATTTATTTTTTAATCTTACTGGATTATTTGGAAAAAAACCTGTGTTTCAGGTTCTGAAATTGTTTCTTCTACTTGATCTAGTCTATAGTTGAAGTTCTCAATTTTATTATTTATTTTATTCATTGAATACTTCAGTTTTAGGATTTTTGTGTGTTTCTTGTTTAGGATTTGTATCTCTTTGATAAATTTCTCATTAGTATCCTGATTGGTTTTCTGATTTTTTTGTATTATTTATCTTTGTTCTCTCATATCTCCCTGAGCTTCTTTGATATCATTATTTTGAATACGTTTTTTAGGCTTTTCACAAATTTCTTTTTCATTGGAACTTGTTGCTGGGAAAATATTGTGTTCCTTTGGATGTGTTGTATTTCCTTGCTTGTTCTTGTTTTTTGTGACCTTACATTGATATTTGTATATCTGGTATAACAGTCACTTTTAATGTTTTGGATTGGCTTTTGTAGGAGAAAGATTTTTATAAAGATGTATCTATGGTTTGGGTTGCATAGGGCACTTTATTTTTGATTTTTGGTGTATGCAGCAGGGCAGTCTCTGTATAATTTATTTCATTGTTAAGAACAACGGTGGGTATCTGTGGTTTTCTCAGTGGCTTAGGCTGCTGTTGTTAGTGGAGGCTGTGTTGATGCTTTGCTGGGGATGACGATGCCAGATTAACAAGTCCTTGGGCCCCAGTGGTGGCAATGGCAGGCCAAATGTTCCTGTTCTTTGGCCCCAGGGTGTTATATGTAGGCCTTGGTGTTAGCAGGACCTGGAAGGCCAATTATTGGTCTTCCAAGTGGCTTACTTGAATGCCAGCAGTGGCAGTAGTGGACTGGGTATGTGGGTGGGTCCTTGAGCCCCTAGTAAGAATACATTGTTTGGGCAATGGCAGTAACTGTGGTAGAACAACTCTCAGCATCCCAAGTGGCTTGTGCTGGTGTTAGCAGTGGCTGTGACTGGCTGGGCAGGCTAGTTTCCAGACCCCTAGGTAGCATGTTTGCGTGGGTGCCAGTGGTGGTGGTGGTGGTGACAGGCTGGATGGGCACATTCTCATGCCCCAGGGAGAGGAGTTTATAGGTGTCAGTGGTGGTGGACAAGCCCACAGGCAGCATACTTGGGCACTAGGGGGAGATGCCTGACTGTGTGTGCCTGTCTTCAGGCCCGCTTTTGGTGTGCATGGGTTCAGGATGTGGTGGGCATGGTGGCCAGTCTCCAGGCTCCAAGTAAATAAAAATCAGTATGTCAAAAAGATTCCCGCACCTCCGTATTTACTGCAGCACTATTCAAAATAGCCAAGGCAGGAAATCAATGAATTGTCCAACAATGGATGAATGGATAAAGAGCATGTGGTATATATACACAATTGAATACTATTCAGCTATAAAATAGAATGAAATCCTGTCATTTGTGGCAATAGACATGAAACTGGAAGCCATTATGTTAGGTGAAATGAGCCAGGCACAGAAAGCCAAATATCACGTGATCTCACTTACAAACATATTTTTAAAATGTTGATCTCATAGAAGCAGAGAATAGAACATTTGTTACCAGAGACTAGGGAGGGAATGGTAAAGGAGAAGATGGGTAGAGGTTGGTAATGGGTAAAAAGATACCATTTAAGTAGGAGGAATAAGCTCTGATGTCGATTGCACAAAATCCTGACTACGGTTAACAGAAAGGTATTGTATATGTCAAACTAACTAGAAGAAAGGTTTTTGAATATTCTTACCACAAAGAAATGATAAACATATGAGGTGATAGATATAGTTACTACCCTGATTTGATCCACATTTACATGTCTTGAAACAGCAAACTGAACTCTACATATATATATATACTTATAATGTGTCAATTAAACAAGAATATATAGATAAAATAAAAAATATAAATATAAATAGAGTGGAACATATTTTATGGCTTGATATGTTTATTGCAGTTTTGGTATATACAGTTCAATAAATATTTGTTAGGTCATGTTGGTTGTTATAATCTTTTATTTATTCAATTTTTTATGTTTTAGATTCAGGAAGTACATGTGCAGGTTTGTTACATGTGTATTTTGTATAATGATGGAGTTTGGGCCTCTAATGTATTATCACCCAAGCAGTGAACATTGTAACGAATAGGTGATTTTTCAGCCCTTGCCCCCTCTTAACCTCCTCATTTTTGGAGTATGAAGTGTCTGTTATTTCCATCTTTATGTTCATTTGTACCCATTGTTTACCTCCCACTTATAAGTGAGAAAAAGTTGTATTTGATTTTCTGTTTCTGAGTTATTTCACTTAGGATAATGGCTTCAAGCCCCATCCATGTTGCTTCAAAGGACGTGACTTCATAACATTTTATGAAAATGGCTGCAGAGCATTCCATGGTGTACATATACCACATTTTCTTTATCTAACCAGCAGCTGATGGACACTTAGGGTGATTTCATGACATTGCTGTTGTGAATACTGCTGTGATAAACATATGAATGCAGGTGTATTTTTATATAGTGATTTATTTCCCTTTGGACAGATAACCCATAGTAGAATTGCTAGATGAAATGGTAGACCTAATTTTTCATTCTTTGAGAAATCTCCATACAATTTTCCACAGAGGCTGAACTAATTTACATTCCCTCCAAGTGTGTATTAGCTTTCCCTTTTCTCTGCATCCATGCCAACAACTGTTGTTCTCTGAATTTTTAAAAATAGTCGTTATGACCAGTGTAAGATAATATTTCATTGTAGTTTTAATTTGCATTTCTCTGATGATTAATGATGTTGAGCATTTATCTTCTGTTTGGTGGCTGCTTGTGTAACTTCTTTTGAGAAACGCCTTTTTTTGTCTTCATTATATCTTTTTAAAAACTGTGTGTTATACTTTTCCGCTATAGTAATCCCTAATGCATTCCCTCTAGGACTAGCCCCATAGCACCTTACTTCTTCCAAGAATTAGAGTTAATGAGCCAAAGGTTCTTTTTCTCACTTACATAGGATGTTCCATTCTTCATTTCACACAAGATACAACCTAAGATATTCAGTGGACTTCAAAAATTAAAAATTCCTCTTTTAGAACAAGTAGTTCCATGTTTGTTTTTATAAGACACAACTGAAAACCTCTCAGTGTATGTGTTGTAGATGAGAATGCATTCAACACACTTGGCTCCAGTTCTGACCAACATATTACTGACAGTTATTTGCCTGGGCTAGTGGTTTCAGCTTGTGGCCAAATAACTGACTTAACTAAATTATCCCATTTGCAATATGCTCGTATCTCAACTCAAAAGACTTGAAGTGCATTATGATTCCATTTTAAATTGTACGTACATCTTTCTTTGGGGTAACAGATATTTCTAGGAGCCTCTGCTCATGGAACATGGCTTTGTATGTGCAGATAAAGGGCTTTCACTATGACCAAAAAATGGATAAAAACAAAGCAAAGCCTCTGTTTAGCATATTCAAGCTCCTATGCTGCAAGTCCAAATGAACAAATCTCCCAAAGAGATAAATTTTCTCCAGATAGCACAGTGGCAATTTTGAGCTGGTGAGTAGGGATAGGCCTTAGCACATGTTCATGTATATTGGATGGCATTTATACATTCTTAGAAAGCTCATCTTAATAGTTGCCTTTTTATTTTCTTCCATAAAACTGAAGGATAAGTATATATAATTTTTTTTGTCACATGGGAGAATAATAGCCCTTAACAATGGCTTTGTGATTTGTACTGAGCCTTGAAAAGAAGTTGGATTCCGTTTCTAAAAGTTACTTTTTTTTTCTGAGGTGTAAAATTGTTAAGGACATTGCAGGAGTGTATTGTCCTTGAGTACTCAATAGAGATTTTGAAGACCCTAGAAGTTTCTTCTGCATAAAATGGGGTCTCCTGAAAAAGTATAGGCAACTGGTAGTGAAATGGAGACTAAGGTCTTTTGCAAATGTTACATTCTTTCTTTACTATCACTTTTTAATGGAATGTAAGAATTTTGTCTTAAAGTTTAAGCTAAGAATGGCATGTATCAACTAACCTGTTTTCAGTACTTCAGTCTAGTGTTCTTTGTTTATTGTTGAGATGTAGTATACTTATTGGCAAGCAAAAGGAACAGCCAAATATAGAGCATATATTACTTAGGCAGTGCATTTTCTCATCAACATTTTATATCTTTCTTTGGATCATTGATAAGTTCTTCAAAGAAACTAGTATGGTATTTGGGAATGTGTGTGCCAAAAGAATATACATACATTGAATTAGAAAAGGAATATACCCATTTAAGAGGGGACTGACTAATGTAAATGGAATGCATATAGAAATTGAATTCTGAGATCTTTAACATGGTTTTCCTCTTATACTCCTACAAATGGCTTATTTATTCCTCTGTGTCTGTAAGGCTGACCTAGGGTCATTATGTTTCTAATGTTATACCATTGCTTGTATTAGAAGCTACTTTCTCATCCACTCACCATTGTCCTGCACAAACTAAAAAAAAAGACTAGATTTCCCTTCAGTAGCCTGAGGATATGTCAAACAGAGGAAATAATTGATCAAAGTTAACTCATTCCACTTACATGGCCAAAATATGTACAGCAATGAATGAGAATTGGACTAAACTAGATGTGTTGTCTACAGATGTTTCTATTCATCTAAATATTCTTATGAACTTAGGCAGTCCCGTATTCTATTCCTGATATGTGCTGTCTAAGGCTATTGTTTGACCAAATTTCACCTTCAAAGGGTAGGGATTTACTTCAAGTTAGTTTAGAACAATTTAGGTTTTCACTTTTTATATGGACATTTGGCATTCTATAGGTATGGTCTGTTTCCCCTCCTCAGTATTTTAAGTTTGTCTTCCCAAAATAATTATTTTAAATGTACTTTGTAAAACCATGGTTCTAGCAGAAAATAACTTTCACCTTAGGTGGTTCAAATGAAAGGACATTAGTGAAGAGACCTCTTACAGAGTTGGAGAAAGATTAGAGGAACCAACAGTGGATGCTGACTATCCAGAGACTAGCAGCAGAAGGAAGCCATGATTATCTATAGCTCTGAAGAGGTGAAGAGAAGGAAGTGTGTTTCCGGAGATCAATAACAGCTGGATTCCTGGAGAGAAGGCCAGCTAGCAGGACTTGTAAGTGTGGAGGAATGCAACTACCTCCAGAGAAGCAGTACAGAAGAAGTGAGTTGAAGAGAAATGCTACTCTAACTTCTCTCTCTCTCTTTCCACCCACAAATGTCCCACTGATACCTCCTATGGGCTAAAATCCACCCAGAAGACATCCAGCAAGGGTCCATCTCAAGAACACATGATGGGCAGAAAAAAGCACAAAGTGGATCTAAGCAGGGCAGAGGAGGGAATGGAGAATAAATCAGCACACATTTGGAGGTAACTGCTTTTGCATGGAAGAATGAGATGGGAAGTCAGAGTATTTAATACTTACTCCATGTCACCATCATCTTTTGCCTAGACAACTGAAATTCTGTCCTCACTAGTCTCCCCACATCCACCCTTGTCTTCATCCAATCAAAACACCATGACAGCCAGAATGGTCAGTTCAAAAAAAATCTGATCGTCATACCTCACTTTGCACTTCCCTCTCCCCTTAGCATGTAACCCTTCAATTGATTCATATTCCTTTTAAAACAGAAACTAAAATCATTATCATAGCCTACAGTGTTCTATATGGTGTGGCCTCAGCCTAATTCTTCAATCACACCTTGTTCCATTCTCTCCTTTGTTCGGCTCCCTCCAGCATCACTGGCTTTGTTTGCTTCCTGCCTGATTCAGAGTCTTTGAAATGTTGCTCCTTCTTCCTGGATTGTTCTTCCTGCTTTCTCCTTCTCTTAGTTAATGCATCTTCATCCTTCAGATCTTATCCCGAAAGTCACTTGCTTAGGGTAACCTTCACATATCTTAGACCAGCCTATATGTGAATGAAATACCTTAGAGTGTTACTCAATTAATTTAGTCAGGGACACAGTTATTTTCCACATTCCAAGAAGCAAAAAAAAGGCATTAGCTATTTTAGTACACCTACTGGAAGGGGGAGTAAGGTAGTGTATGTAAAAGGGAGAATGCATGTGAAGTATCTCACATGGTGAGAATAAATACTATGTAAAATCATACAGTAGACAATTTCATAAATATTAGTTTCATTTTCTTTCTGTTTATGTAGATACTCAAGTTTTCAGGGAAATCCTGATGATTACGAAAGTAGAGTCACAGAGTTAGAGGGACATCTCATAGGGAAATGTAGTGTATTTCCTTTATTTATATTCCTTCTCAACTGGGCATGAAGGAGGCAAGACACAGGATTCAAAGTTCAAAATTAGAAAACTCAGTGGAGTATAAGAGAAACTATGGGAAAGAAAGAGAAAAGTGACTGCTGAAAATATGAACAGTGCCATTATTCTTGTAAGGTATAGAAAAGTAGTGAGAAGTAAGAACTGAGCAGCTTGGTACTTTTTTCTTTAAGCTGTAACAGTGTATTTTCCACTGGAATCTTACCCAGGATTCTAATATATTAAAAAGAGAAGAGAGGGACTCTTGTCCTTATTGGTAGCAGGGGGAGTAGGATAAGATGCTCACACTCTCCTGCTTTACACTCAACTTCACCCTACCCTGCCCCCACTGAAACTTTTGTAATTCTACAGAACACAGCTTGGAAACTCAGTTCAGTAACTGCTATGCAAATAACACTGTAGTGACATAGCCCAGAGTTTAAATCCCGCACAATGGCCAGAGAGAATTTATAGCCAACTTTCTAATGAAAACTGAGTTGTTAGATATATAGTTTCCAACTGAAGTTTAAGAAGATAAAGTACATAAGGAACACCTTGCTTTAAAATTATGTCTTTCATTAATTGCTGTTGCCAAAGATTGAATTCTAAACTGCTTGGTAGTAATCCATGCTTAGGCAATTTCAGTGTATTTTGTTAAATATTTTATTTTATATGAAAAATATTGTATCATTTGTTAAATTATTTTATTAAACAATGAATAAATTCTGAAATTGACAAGTTGATATAACTATTGCAAGTTTTATCACACTGAAAACTGTAAAACTTTAATGGAAAATTAACGATGACACAGTTAAATGAAAAGACACTGATTGGAAAGCTTAATATTGTTAAAATGTCCACACTCCCTCAAAGCAATCCCAAGATTCATTGCAATCCCCATCAAAATCCCAAAGTAGCATTTACAAAAATAGCATAGACAATACTAAAATTTATATGAAATGGTGATGGACACCGAATAGCCAAAACAATCTTGAAAAGGAAAAACAAAGTTGGAGGCATCACACCTCCTGATCTCAAAACATATTACAAAACGACAATAATTTAAAAGGTAATTAAAACAGTATGGTACTGGACCAAGGACAGATATACAAACCAATGGAGCAGACTAGAGAGCCCAGAAACATTGCCATGCATATATGATCAATGGACTTTGGCAAGGGGTGCCAAGAATACACAATGGCAAAAAGACTGTCCCTTCAACAAATAGTGCTGGGAAAATCAGATGTTCACATGTGAAAGAATACAACTGGACTCCCCTATCCCCCTCCTACACCACATACAAAAGTCAACTCAAAATGGAGCAGGACTTAAACATAAAACATGAAACTAAAATTCCCAGAAAAAAACACAGGGAGAAAGTTTCATGTAAGTGGTCCAGAACCTGATACCAAACATACAAATAATAAATGCAAAGATAGGCAAGTGAGACTATTACAATCCAAAATATTTCTGGCACCAGAAAGGAGAGAATTAACAAGGCAAAGAAACAACTCAGAGTGAGAGAAAATACTCACCAACCATATATGTAATAAAAGATTAATATCCAAAATATCCAAATATCTAAAATATATAATGTAATCTTACAACTCAATAGCAAATAAATAAAATAATGTAATTAAGAAATATGCAAATAATCAGAACAGACATCCCTTCAAAAAAGAAACACAAACGGCCAACAGGTATACGTAGAGATGCTCAACTTCATTAATCATCAGGGAGATGCCAGTCCAAAGCACAATTAGATATCACCTCACGCCTGTTAGGATAGTTTTTGCTTTTAAATAAAGATAATAAGCATTGTTTATGTGGAGAAATTGGAGACCTAGTACACTTCTGTTAGGAATGTAAAATGATGCAGCCTCCATAGGTAGCTGTATGGATGCTTCTCACAAAAATTAAAAGTAGAACTTTCATATGTTTCAGCAACTGCCCCTCTGGATAATCACCCAAAAGAACTGAATTTGGGAATAATATCCGTGCACCCATGTTCACTACACTACCATTTACAAACAATAGCTAAGGTGTAGAAACAGATGTCCATGAAAGGATAAATAGATAAAGAAAATGTGGCATATAGTACAATGGAACATTATTCAGCTGTAAAAAAAAAGGAAAAAGAAAAAAAGGAAATCTTGCCATGTATGACAACATGGATGAACCCTGAGGACAATAAGCTAAATGAAGTGACAGTAACAGAATGACAAATACTGATTTGTCATTCTGATTTAATTTATGTGTGGGGTATGAAATAGTCAAACTCATAGAAGCAGAGAGTAGAATGGTACTTGCCAGGAGATAGGGAGAGGGTGAAATGGGGAGCTGATATTTAACATGAATAAAGTTTCAGTTTTTTGAGTTGTAAAAAACATTTCAATAGCTTTTGACGTACAAGTAGATTTTGGTTACATGAATGAATTTTATAGGTGAAATATGAGATTTTAGTGCATCCATCACCTGAGTAGTGTACATTGTACCCAATATGTGGTTTTTTATTCCTCACCCGCCTTCCACCCTTCCCCTTCTAAGTCTCCAAATCTATTATACCACTTTGTTTGATGTGCATCCTTATAGCTCAGATCTCACAAGTGAGAACATATTGTATTAGGTTTTTCATTCCTGAGTTACTTCACTTAGAGCAATGGCCCCCAGCTCCATCCAGGTTGCTGCAAAAGACATTATTGTGTTCCTTTTCATGGCTGAGTAGTTTTCTATGGTGCATATATACTATATTTTCCTTATCTACTCACTGGTTGATGGGCTCTTAGATTGGTTCCATATCTTTGCAACTGTGAGTTGTGCTGCTATAAACATATGTGTGTATGTGTCTTTCTCATATAAAGATTTCTTTTCCTTTGGGTAGATAACCAGCAGTGGGACTGATGGATTGAATGGCGGATCTACTTTTAGTTGCCTGAGCTATCTCCATACTGTTTTCTCTAGAGGCTGTACTAATCTACATGCCAGTCATCAGCAGTGCATAAGCCATAAGCATTCCCCTTTCACCACACCCATGCCAACATATATTGGTTTTCGACGTTTTAATAATGGCCATTCCTGAAGGAGTAAGGTGGTATTTCACTGTGGTACTAATTTGCATTTTCCTGATGCTTAGTGATGTAAAGCATCACTTCATGTTTGTTGGCCGTTTGTAGATTGTCTTTTGAGAAATGTTTATTCATGTCCTCTGCCCACCTTTTGATGGGATTATTTGTTTTTTTCTTGCTGGTTTGTTTCAGTTCCTTGTGGATTATGGGTACTAGTCTTTGGTGGATGCATAGTTCGCAAATATTTCCTCCTACTCAGCAGGTCGTCTGTTCACGTAGATGATTATCTCCTGTGCTGTGAAGAAACATTTTAGTTTAATTAGATCCCATTTATTTATTTTTGTTTTTGTTTCATTTGCTCCCAGGGTCTTAGTCATTAATTCTTTGCGGAGGACAATGTCCAGAAGAGTTTTTCCAATATTATCTTGTAGAATTTTTATGTTTTCAGGTTTTAGTTTCAAGTCTTTCATCTACCTTGATATGACTCCTGTACAAGGTGAGATACAGGGACCCAGTTTCGTTCTTTCACATGTGGCCTGCCAGTTTTCCCAGCACCATTTATAAAACAGGTTTCCCCTCCCCAGTGTATTTTTTGTATACTTTTTTGAAGATCTGGCTGTAAGTATTTGGCTTTATTTTCAGGTTCTGTACTCCGTTCCATTGGTCCATGTGGTCCCCATTTTCACCAGCATTATACTGTTTTGGTAATTATAGGCTTGTAGTATAATTTGAACTCCAGCAATATAATTCCTCCAGATTTATTCCATTTGCTTAGGATTGCTTTGGCTATTTGAGATCTTTTTTGGTTCCATATGAATTTTACACTGTTTTTTCCTAATTCTGTGAAAAATGATGTTTGGTATTTTGATAGCAATTGCACTGAACCTGAAGACTGCTTTGGGCAGTATAGTCACTTCCACAATATTGATTCTTTCAATCCATGAGCATGGGACGTGTTTCCGTTTGCTTGTGTCCTCTACAATATCTTTCAGCAGCGTTTTGTAATTCTTCTCAAGATCTTTCACCTCCTTTGTTAAGTGTATTCCTAGGTATTTGTATTTTATTGATTTTGTAACCTGAGATTTTACTGAATTTGTTTATCAAATATGGGAGACTTTGGATGAGTCTCCAGGGCTTTCTAGGTGTACAATTGTGTCATCAGTGAACCCTGATAGTTTGTACCAATGATATGATTGTACACCTAGAAAGCCCTTTCCAACTTGGATGCCCTTTATTTATTTTTCTTGCCTGATTGCTCTGACTAAGACTTCCACTACTCTGTTGAATGTAAGTGGTGAAAGTGGGACTCCTTGTCTTGTTCCAATTGCCAGGGGAAATGCTTTCAACTTTCTTCCATTCAGTATGATGTTGGTTTTGGGTTTGCCATAAATGGCTTTTATTATTTCAAGGTAAGTTCATTCTATGCCTCATTTGTTGAGTTTTTTTTTTATCATAAAAGAATGCTGGATTTTATCAAATGCTTTCTTCTGCATCTACTGAGACAATCATATGGTTTTGTTTTTAATTCTGTTTATGTGATGTATCATGTTTATTGACTTGTGTATGATAAACCATTCATACATCCCTGGGATGAAACCCACTTGATCATGATTTATTATTTTTTTGATTATGCCTTTGGATCTGGTTTGCTAGTATTTTGTTGAGAATTTTTGCGTCGATGTTTATCAGGGATACTGGTCTGTAGTTTTCTTTTTTTTTGTTATGTCCTTCCCTGGTTTTAGTATCAGGATGATACCAACTTCGTCGAATGACCTAGGGAGGATTCCCTCTTTCTCAATCTTTTGGAATAGTTTCAGTAGAATTGGTACCAATTCTTCTTTGAATGTCTGGTAAAATTCACTTGTGAATTCATCTATCTGCCCCTGGGCCTTTTGTTGTTGTCAATTTATTTTTATTGCTGATTCAATTTCACTGCTTGTTATTGGTCTGTTCAGGGTTTCTATTTCTTCCTGATTTAATCTAGGATTGTATGTTTCCAGGAAGTTATCCATTTCCTCTAGGTTTTCTACTTTGTGAGCATAAAGTTGTTCATCATAGTCTCAAGTGATCTTTCATATTTCTGTGATGTCACTTGTAAATGTCTTCAGTTTCATTTCTAATTGAGCTTATTTGGATCTTCTTTCTTTTTCTTGGTTAATCTAGCTAAATGGTCTATCAAATATTTTGTTTATCTTTTCAAAGAAGCAGCTTTTTGTTCTATTGATCTTTTGTGTTTTTTGTTTCCATTTCATTTAGCGCTGTTCTGATTTTTGTTATTTCTTTTCTTCTGCTAATTTGGGGTTTAATTTGTTCTTGTTTCTCTAGTTCCTTGGCATGTAACATTAGGTTGTCAATTTGTGCTCTTTCAGACTTTTTGATGTAGTCATTTAGCACTGTAAACTTTAATCTTAGCACTGCTTTTCTTGTATCCCAGAGGTATTATTAACTTTTGTTACTATTATCATTCATTTCAAAGAATTTTTAAATTTCCATCTTGATTCTATTGTTAACCTGAAAATCTTTCAGGAGCAGATTATTTAATCTCCATGCATTCGTATAGTTTTGAGGGTTCTTTTTGGAGTTGATTTCTAGTTTTTTCCACTGTGGCCTGCAAAGATACTTGATAAGATTTCAATTTTTTAAAATTTAGTGAGACTTTTTTTGTGGCCTATTATATGGTCTATCTTGGAGAATGTTCCACTTGCTGATGAGAGAAATGTACATTCTTCTGTTGTTGGGTAGAATGTTCTATAAATATATGTTAAGTACATTTGTTCTAGAGTATTTAAGTCCATTGTTTCTTTGTTGACTTTATGTTTTGATGACCTGTCTAGTGCTATCAGCAGTGTATTGAAGTCTCCCACTCTTGTTATGTTGCTATCTCAATATTTCTTAGGTCTAGTAGTGCATTAGTCAGTTCTCACACTGCTATAAAGAAATATCTGAGACTGGGTAATTTGTAAAAAAAAGAAGTTTAATTGGCACACTGTTCCACAGGCTGTAAAGGAAGAATGGCAGCATCTGCTTCTAGGGAGGCCTCAGGGAACTTACAATCATGGCAGAAGGCGAGGGGAAAGCAGACACATCTTGCATGGCTGGAGCAAAAGGAAGAGAGAGAGGAAGGGAGGTTTCACACTTGTAAACAACCAGAGCTCATTATAACTCAATTACTCACTATGATGAGAGTAACACTGAGGGGATGGTGCTAAGTCATTCATGAAGGCCCACCCTTATGATCCAATCACTTCCCCCAAGGCCCCACCTCCAAAATTGGGGATTATGATTTGACATGAGATTTGGTGGAAACAACGAACCAAACCATACCAAGTAGTAATTGTTTTATGAATCTGGGAGCTCCAGTGTTAAGTGCGTTTAAATTTAGGATTACAGTATCTTCTTGTTGGGTACATCTTTTTATCCTTAATTAATGACCTTTGTCTTTATTACTGTTGTTGCTCTACAGTCTGTTTTGTCTGATATAAGAATGGCTACTCCTCACTTTTGGTTTTCATCTGCATGAAATCTGTTTTTTCACCCCTTTCCCTTGAGTTTATAGGAATCCTTATGTGTTAGGCCTCTTGAAGACAACAGATATTTGGTTTGTGATTGTTTGCTAATTATGCCATTCTGTATCTTTTAAGTGGAGTATTTAGGCCATTAACATTCAATGTTAATATTGAGATATGAGGTACTGTTCCATTCATCATGCTTGTTGTTACCTAGAAACTTAGTTTTTTTTCACTGTGTTACTGTTTCATAGCCCCTGTGAGTTTTATGGTTTCGAGAGTTTCTATTTTGGTGTGTACTGAGCTTTTGATTCAAGATTTAGAACTGCTTTCAGCATTATTTGTAATGTTGGTTTGGGAGTGACAGATTCCCTCAGCATTTGTTTGTCTAAAATGGCTTTATTTCTCCTTCATTTATGAAACTTAGTTTTGCTAGGTACAAATTTCTTTGCTGACAGTTATTCTGTTTAAGGAGGTTAAAGATAGGACCCACATCCCTTCTGGCTTGTAAGTTCTCTGCTGAAAAGTCTACTGTTAGTCTGATAGGTTTTCGTTTATGGATTCCCTTATGCTTTTGTCTCACTGACCTTATAATTATTTCCTTAATGATGACTTTAGATAACCTGATGACTATATGCCTTGGTGAAGATCTTTTTGAAATGAATTTCCCAGGAGTTCTTTGAGCTTCTAGTATTTGGATATCAAATTCCTAACAAGGCCAGGGAGGCTTTCTTCAATTATTCCCTCAAATAGGTTTTCCATATTTTTTGCTTTCTCCTCTCCCTCAGGAACATCAATTATTCTTATATTTCACTGCTCTATATAATCTCAGATTTCTTGTAGACTGTTCATTTTTGATGTTTTCTTCTTTATTTTTGTCTGATTGGGTTAATCCAAATCCTGGTCTTCCAGCTCTGAATTCATTCTTCTACTTGTTGTAGTCTATTGTTCAAACTTTCCACTAAATTCTGTAATTCCCTAAGTGTGTATTTTATTTCCAGAAGTTCTGATTGATTGGTCTCTCTTTATGACATCTATCTCACTAGAAAATTTTTTATTCACATCCTGATTTTTTTATATTTCTTTAGGTTGGTTTTCACCTTTCTCTGGTATCTCCTTGAGTAACTTAAGAGTTGACCTTCTGAATTCCTTATCTGATATTCCAATTATTTCATCTTGGTTTGGATCCATTGCTGGAAAGCTAGTGTGATCTTTTGAGGGCGTGTTATTGAACTCTATTTTGTCACCTTACCAGAGTTTCTTTACTGATTCCTTTTCATTTGGATAGACTATTTCTTCCATTATTCTTGAATTTATTTTTGATTTGACTGTGTTCTTAAAAGTTTTTTCCATCTTGAGGATGTTACTTTAATATTTATAGTATATTATAGCCTAATTTGTTTCTTGATGCTTTTAGGGGTGAAGACTGTGGTATGAATTCCTTTGTTATAGACAGTCTTTAATGATGGTTTTCCCAGATGCTGGTTGTAGTAGCAATGTGCTTGGTGTGTGAGCAAGTTCACTGTTTTCCTATGGGGTTAGAATGGCAGAGGTCTCTTGAAGCTTCTCCCATTCCCTCATCATGCACACTTATTTATTTATTTATTTACTTTTCCCCAGTATTTTATTTATTGGGTTGATGGTTCAGGCTTCAGGGAAGTAGAGAAGGTGTCCTTGGGTATGAACTGGTTGTGGCTAAAGCAGGTGGGTCAATGTAATACCCAATGGTGGGCAGAGGTTCAGCATTGAACAGGTTTCTGAGGGAACTCTCGGTGAGATGCTGCAAAGTCTTCTCAGTGGGAAGAGCGGGAGCTACCTCAGCTGCCCTGCTAGGCCAGCAGGAAAGCTATCCACTTCCCAGACACACTCCTATCTCAGTGTTCTGGCTGTTCAGGTCAGACAGGCACCTCTTTTCATTTGTAAGAATGTTGATGTTCCAAGTAGGGAAGATTTGTGACTCTGCCTATTGTGCAAGCTGAGCCTGGAAGATGCTCTTCCTGTGAGGATGCAATCACCCTGAAGTATTCCAGAGAGGCTGGTTATAGGTGTACCCACACCACATACCTGTGTGAGAAGCCCCCGCTATGCCTGCAGTGGTGAATGAGGAAGATAAGAAGCCCCCTTCTCCATAACCCTTCATGAGGACCAGGGCTGCCTTACTGTTGGGGTAGAGCTGCAGACTTTCCCTGCTGAGCCCATCACTGCACCTGTGACTTTGTTGACAGAAACTTCCCAAGAGTGGAAAGACCTGGTATTCAAGACTTGCCACCCAGATTCCTTTGTCCCACAGCAGCTTCCCTTGAGGTGGTACACTCCCCCTTCCCCTAGGAATAGAAGTTCCTGAGAGCCAGACTACTGTGAGTGCTGTTGCTCTTCTGGGTCCAGTCACCCAGTGGGACTGCCACACTCCAGGCTGGTGTTGGGGAATGTCTGCAAGAGATCCAGTGATGTGACCTGCCCTCAAGTCTCCCAGCAGTGGGTACCAGCACGAAGGGATCCAGTTATATGACCTGTCCTCAAGTCTTCCAACAGCAGGTACCAGCACCAGCTCTGATAGGGGTGGCCGGGGATTGATGTAGACTCTGTGAGATTCCTTACTTATAGATAGCCTTAGTGTGATCTCTGTTATCACCCTTTCATGCACTACTCTGGCTAACTCAGAGATCTTGAGTCTGTCCATGTGACTAGTTTATTACTACTATAGCCATCATTCAAGAAAGCCAACACACTAAGGCTATCAATAACCAAGGTATTTCAGAGTTTACATCATTCCCCTGCCACCTCCATTAGAGCTGGTTATATTAGTGGACAGACTCAGGACCTCCTGGTTAGCCACTGTGGTGCAGGCAATGGTCATAGCTGAGGTCATGCACCAGCTTTCTCCCTCCTGGGTACAGTGTTATTCTACCAGGAGATGCTGTAATGGACAGTGTCTGTTGGCCTCCAGTCATGAGGTGGTACTTGCAAAAGAGCACCAGCTGCAGTAGTAACAGTGGGATTTGTGCTTGCCTTATGTTGCCCAGGGGAGGTACTCTGGTTTCTCAGGCAATAAGCAGAGCCATAAAGCTCCCAAAAGTTTCTGTCCCTTGTGTTATGCTACCAGGGCAGGTGGAGGGGAAAAGCCAGGTAGGGGCTGTCTCACATGGGTCTGCGCTGTGACTCTGCATGTGCAGCAAGCAGTGTTCCCTGCAGGGGCCAGAGGGAGGTTCTCTGGCCACTGGGCAATGTTCCAGAGAGCAGCATTGCTGCCTGTGCTGCACAGAATAATTCATGCAAAAAGTCTGGAGTAGCAGGCTGCAGTAAGCCCCAGCCAGTTCCCACTCCCTCGGCTAGACAAACCTCGCTCCCACAGTGCTCTACTAGCAGCAGCAAGCTAAGTTCCAGGCAGCCTGCCCTCAGAACCGAAAGCTGCCCCAGTAATTTTCAGGCCACACTCCTCCTAGTCCACCCAAAAAGCCAGGCACCTGGTTCCTGTGCTCCTGGCTGCAGCACACTTCACACTGGTACCTCCAATTTTGACCAAGAGAGTTTATCACCACTGGATGTTATGTTGCAAAATTCAGCTGGGAGCTTCTTTCAATGTGTGATCACTGCCTGAGCTAGTTGGCTGACTTCCTTGAGGTACTCTGTGAGGTATAATAAGGAATGACTTCCCTTGGTCTGTGCTGGAAACTGGAAATGTGTGGAAAAGCTCTAAACACAGTTGCTCCTACTTGTATATTTCTCACCATTCCCTAAATCTGTTCTGGCACTGAGTAGGGTTAAGGCCATTCTCTGTGGCCTGGATTTTCAGGTTCCCCCATGGGGGTGTGTATCTTGGAGGCAGCCTCTCCCTCTCTCCCTCTCTGGGGACTTAAAGTTTTTCACCTGGCTCATTGCACAGGCTGCAGCCTCCTGCATCTTTGAAAGGATCTATGGAATCTTTTGGTTTTCTGGTTACATTTCTGCATTGCTTTTTGAAAAAAAGTTCACAGTGTGAACTTCTATACACTATTTTGTCCTGCAAAGTGGGAGAGTTACGCTAACATTGCCTCCAATCTGCCATCTTGGGGAAAAAAAACTATTGCAACTTTTTAAGTAGAAAGAGATGGTATATAAATCTAAATATTGCTTTTGAGACAGATGGTTTTATATTATGTTGCTAAGTAGCAAATTTAATTGTCAGCTGATATTATTGAATGAAAGCCATAAAATATAATATTATCAGCAAAGCCCATTCTTTTCAACCCCAAGTGGACAAATGTTATATTGATGCCAGGCTAAGTTGGAAACCTGAAGTAAATGTAAATGTAATGTGAATAAAGCATATATAATTTTGGAAAATACTGCCCCCTATTGATCCCTTTTAGAGACATGACACACTAAAGACTGAGCAGACCTGCAATAAAAAGTAAACCAAAACCATGAGAGAGTTCACCTTGCAACAGTCAGAATGGACATTGTTAAAAAGACAAAAAATAACAGATGCTGGTGAGGATGTGGAGAAAAGGAAACTTTCATACACTGTCGATGGAAATGTAAAATGGTACAACCACTATGGAAAACAGTATAGATATTCTTAAAAAAATGTAAAATAGAACTACCATATGATCCACCAATCCCACTACTGGGTATTTATCCAAAGGAAAATAAATTTGTGTATGAAAGGAATACCTGCACTCACATGTTTATTGCAACACTATTCATAATAACAAAGATGCAGAATAAATCTAAGTGTCCAACAACAAATTAATCGATAAAGAAAATGTATATATGCATAAATCAATAATATTTGGCTATAAAAAAGAATGAAATCATGTCATTGGTAGCAACATGAGTGGAACTGGAAGTTATTATGTTAAGTAAAATAAGCCAGGAACAGAAAGACAGATGCTGCATACTCTCATCCAGATGTGAGAGCTGAATTAAAACTGATATCATGATGGTAGAGAATACAATGATAGATACCACAGGTTGAGAAGGGCTTGTTGATTGGAGAGGGGATAAAGAGAGGCTGTTAATGGGTACAAACTTACAGAGAGGTACAAGAAATAAGCCCGAATATTCAATGGCAGAGTAAGGTGACTATGGTTAGCACCAATGTATTGTATATTTTAAAGTAACTAGAAGAGGAGACCTGAAATGTTACCAACACATGGAAATGATAAATACATAAGGTGATGGATAACCCAGATATTCTGACCTGATCTTTATACATCCCATGCATGTAACAAATACTCACGTGTACCCCATAAATATGTAAAATCTTTTGTATCAATAAAAAAGAAGCCAGTGTTACTTTTTTTCAAATATTTATCGCGATTATTTGACCATGACTTTTTTTCTGCGTACATTTCTCAGTAGTTCCACTTGTGAAAAAGTAGTTATGGACATAGCTTGAGAAAAGAGTCCTGTAATTTTATTACAAAGATGGATTTTCATCAAAAGAACATCATATTAGTCAGGGCTCTACCAAACAAACAGAAGCAGTAGGAAAATTAGGTATATTGGTTTCCTAGTGTTGTTGTAACAAGTTACCACAAATTGGATGGCTTAAAACAATAGAAATGTATTCTCTCATATTTCTGGAGGCTGGAAGTCCAAAAGCAAGGTGTCAGCAGGGCCATGGTTCCTCTGAAGGCTCTAGAAACTTTTCTTAGTTCTTCTAGCTTCCTGTGGTTGCTGACAATCATTGATTTTCCTTGACTTGTGGTAGCCAAACTCCAGTCTCTTCCTCTATCTCACATGACTTTCTTTCTTGTGACTCTTCTGTGTCTTCACATTTTCTTTTCTTATAAGGACACCAATCACTGGATTTAGGACCCACCCTAATACAGTATGACCTAATTAGCATGAAGGTTCAGATCCTAATGTATCTAACATATCTTTTTGGGTCACAATTCAACCCACAATAGTAGTAGAATATGCATATATATGTATGTACGTATACATATACATACACACAATTATACACAATTATATATATGTGTGTGTATAATATACACATATGTGTATTATGCATATGTGTGTATGTGTATATTATACATACCACTACACACATATGTATAATTAGTTTATGAAATTGTATGGTCTGGCTGGGCATGTCAGAGATATGTGGGGCAAACAGGCCGGAAACTCTTGGGCAGGAGCTGGTCTCATTCACAGGTAGAATTACTCCTTTGGGGAAACCTCAGTTTTTATCCCTAAAGCCTTTCGACTGATTGTATGAGGCCCATCCATATTATCAAGGGTAATCTCCTGTATTTAAAGTCAACTGACTGTGGCTGTTAACTACATCTATTACATACCTCACAGCAATACCTAGATTAATGTTTGAATAACTGAGTAATATAGATTAGCCAAATTGACACATAAAGCTAATCATCACAAACGTAAAATCAAATGTTCAGGTCAAAACCATTCTGATTTTCTAGCACATTCTAAAGCCCTCAGAATACACAGTTTTTTTTCTTTAATTACCAAATTGTTTTTGGGCTGCCTTTATCAGACACAGGTCTGATGGGTAGATATTATGTCTTATTTCTGAATAAAAGGGAGAATTGGTGTGACAAAATTTAATTCTATTCAGATATTTTAAAAAATAAAATATGACATATATTTGGCTGTTTTGAAATTTTTACTTCAAAATAATCTTAGATACCACTTAAGCCAATATTCTTACTTTACAGATGGGCGACCTGAGCCCAGAGTGCATAAGTACTTTGCTCATGTTTACCTGGCAGCTTCTGCCCCAACCTGAGGTTAGGACCCAGTCTAGGTCTCCTTCCACACTGCCTCTCAGACAACTAACTGTTCAAGGAACATACCAGGCTGTATTGAGAAAAGAGATGAACTAACTGGATTTGTTCTTCCAGCTATTTCTTATACTGTGGGAACGCATAGGTATTGGGGAATCTTCCCATGCCCCTCTGCCAGGGCACAGAGCTCAGCAGTCAGAAATTGACCAATTGTGTTGTTGGAGAGGGAGAGTCCCTGGGGGTGAGGGTAACTCTCCCAGCAGAAGGCTTTTCCTGTGCTGGACCTCTCAGGACGCTCTTTATGGATGGGTTATGTCTTTTATTTGCATCACATTTGGAACTCAATTTTTAGCCACTCTGAGTATAGATGGCTGGCCTGCCTCTGCATTTTGATGACACTGTATGTTTTGACATCCTGGGTGACATGTCCACGTAAATACATTAAGACAGGAACAGCAAAGGTCGTAACTTTCCTTATTACTGAAGATAAAATGTAATGAGCTAGATCACAGGCTGCTTTAAGAATGGCTGTGCCAGGTTAATGGGGCTCTGCCACTGAAGCCAATTACACTTGGTACAATTACATCCTATTCTAATGCTGTAAGTCAGGGTTACACAAAGATTCTGTCTCTGGGTAATTACCAGCTAGGAAGCAGGTGAGGGGAAACTAAGCAAATTGTCACTGATCATACAAGAGACACACAGAGAGCATAGAGCTTGTAGCTATTCCGGGTGCGTGTGTGTCATCTGTTGCTAAGAAGGAGCTGGTTTCACAGTCAGAAAGCCCTCTTCTTCTAGCACTGACCAAAAGGATATGTGATTTCAATGACGCTTTTAGAAAAGTAGCTGAAAAGTGAATAGTAGAAGAGGGGGAGGAATAACTCAGAAAGCCCTTCTCTATTGAGACTGTTTCCCTGATGATTTTGGAATATTTAGTGGGCTGACATTATTGAATTTTGTTCAAACTAAATACGGGGAAGTGTTACCAAAACCTAAAATGATATAGTAAAATCCGAGCAAAAAAACCCTCAAAGATTGGCTTAATAAAAGACCTCCTTAAATTCTCTGTTATCCTCAACCTCATGACTATTTACGGGCCCTTTACTACACATGGCTACAAGGGGGCCATTGAAGAGCCTTTTGACAATTGAAGATCCATCAGATACATGGATGAAAACACTTTGAAATTTCAAAGTAACAGAATTTCTCTATGACCTCATGCATCAGTTTGCACACTATTGATTTTTGAAAAGCTTTTGAGGAACCAACACATCTACTTTTCCAAGTGAAGCATATGTGTCATTATTATCAGCAAGGAAATATCAAAAAATCCAAGGGAGTGTGTGTGTGGGGGTAATGTTTTCTGAATGAAAGCATCAATGACATTTATTGGAACTGTGGGAAAGTCACTGCAGACGAGGGCAGCTGTATTTCTGAGTGCTGCCTTTTGAGATGTTTATAAGGGAAAGAGCACTAAATAAATGGTGCAAGCAGTGTCAGTTTATTGGAATTTCCTTTGTTTCCAAGAGGTTAAAGATTTTAAAAGGGAATTCTAATATCAGTTTTTCAGACCACAATTGAAAATACTTACATAATGACTCCAGATTTTTAAAAAATCCTTTCAAAGTAATGAAGTAATTCGTGGTAAAGTAAAAACAAAGGGGCAAGAGATAGTAATTGGTATAGTGAGATGATAGGTCATGTCCTCTTGTTACTGCTTTCCCTGAGATTAGATTTTGATGATATTGCTCTTTTTTATCATTAGAAAAGGAGAGAGGGGTGCTTTTTAGTAATTACATATTCATTCTGTCCCTTTTCTCTCTCTAAACAAGTCTCATTCTCTAAATCCTTCAGTTTTTTTTCCACAATTCTCCAAAATGTTACTTTTTTAACTCCTAATTAAAAATTGCTATCCTTTTTGGGGTCATCTTTATCAGAGATTGCCCTTAAGCAATTAAATTGCTTACGAATGTTGAATAATTTGAAAGAGACTTCAGTTATTCCTTGCAAGGCTGCCTCATGCAATTCAATTGCCCTTTGAAAACAAGTGCCCCAGGAGCCCTAAATAAATCAAAAGACAGAATAGTGTCCAGTTTATTGTTCTAATCTTTTCTTTTCTTTCTTGTTTTTTTTTTTTTTTTTTTTTTTTTTTGAGACGGATTTTCACTCTCTCAACCCCAGGCTAGAGTGCAGTGATGCAATCTCAGCTCACTGCAGCCTCTGCCTCCCAGGTTCAAGCGATTCTCCTGCCTCAGCCTCCTGACTAGCTGGGATTACAGGCGCATGCCACCACGCCTGGCTAATTTTTATATTATTAGTAGAGACAGGGTTTCACCATGTTGGCCAGGCTGGTCTCGAACCCCTAACCTCAAGCAATCCACCCGCCTTGGCCTCCCAAAGTGCTGGGATTACAGGTGTGAGCCACCGTGCCCAGCCCTAATTTTTTCAATATTCAGTTTGTACTTAATGTCATCTCAACAAGAGATAAAGCCACACTGAAACTATTATATTTGAGAGTTACTCAATAAAGGATTCAGCCATTCTTTCCGCTGACTAGATCCAATGCTGATTTATCTTGGATAAATCTACTGTTCCAATTATACATTTTCTGCAAAGGAAAACTGATAGATATTCTTCTTTAATATTTATGTTGACCATAGCTATTCAGAGAACATAGTGGTCAGCCTTGTCATTCGTGTAAGTGCTGATACTGGACAACATGAAAGAGAAAATAAGAGAAGAGCATACACTTGATGTAAGAACTAATAGAATAAAAATGGAAAGGTGCATCTCTTGAGCAGTAATATATCCAACACCATAGATTGCTGACCCTCACCTAGAACTAATGCAATCCGAGAATAATCAACGGCCAACTTTCAGACACATGTTTTTTGAAAAATTAGATGCAATAGAGGGGTTCACATTAGAGACAAAACAGGGTTACAAATGAGTTTACCTGTCACTGGCAGAATTAAACTTTTTTGAAATGGAATCCAAGAATGAACCAGATCAATTCATGTCATGTAACTTGGTTACTCAAAGAGTGGGCTATAGACCTGCAGTATCAGCATCACTCAAAAGCTTGTCAGAAATGTAGAATCTTAGCCCCATATCAAACCTACTGAATTAAGATCTCTATTTTACCAAGGTCCCCAAGTGATTTGTAAGCACATTAAAGCTTGGGAAGCCCTACTTACATCTTATGGTAAGATGCATTATTGTCAGATTTGGAAGGCAGAGGAGAAGCAGAGTCCTGTTATCTTCTTCATCTATAAGTGGCAAGTACACTCAAAAGATTCTCAAATGCACACACAAAAATATATATATGTGTATATATAAGTATATACGTGTGTGTGTGTATACATACATACATATATATATATATATATATATATATATATATATGCTGCAGCCTCTTCATTACCCAACCATTTCATCTGCTTTGAGGCTGAGGAAGATCTAGCAAGTTGGCAGTGATTTTCTGCAGATCCTTGACCCTGGGCAGCAGAATCTCTATAAGCATCTGCAAACGTGAAGATGAAAGATAGTAGCGGTCATCTGGACTTTCACCGTCTTTATTCATTCCAGTGCTTTGTTGTTGTTGTACTTGTATTCATTGTTGCTATTTTAACAACATCATTGAGCTATCAAAAACATAATTAACTCCATGTATTTAAAATGCCATTTGTAATCCCTTTTCCCCCTCTTGGCCCTGCCTCCAACCCAGGCAGCTAATGATCTGCTTTCTGTCACTGTTGACAAGTTTGCATTTGTAAGTTTTATTTAATGGAAGCATACAGTATTGATTCTTTTTGTCTGGTTTCTTTCACTCACCATTTTTTTTTGAGAGTCATCGTTGTTGTTGCTAGTACCAAGTATTAGTCAGGATTCTCCAGAAAGACAGAACCAATAGGATATATAGAGAGAAGAAAAGATATATGGGATGTTATATGGTTTGGCTGTGTCCCTACCCAAATGTCATCTTGAATTCCCATGTGTTGTGGGAGGGACCCAGTAGGGGGTAATTGAGTCATGGGGGCAGGTCTTTCCTGTGCTGTTCTCATGATAGTGAATAAGTCTCACAAGATGTAATGGCTTTATAAAAGGGAGTTTCCCTGCACAAGCTCTCTTTTTGCCTGCCACTATCCATGTAAGATGTCACATGCTCCCCCTTGCCTTCCACCATGGTTGTGAGGCCTCCCCAGCCATATGAAGCTCTAAGTCCATCAAACCTCTTTCTTTTGTAAATTGCACAGTCTTAGGTATCTCTTTATCAGCAGCATGAAAACAAACTAATACAGTAAATTGGTACCAGTAGAGTGGGGCGCTGCTGAAAAGATCCTCAAAAATGTGGAAGCAACTTTGGAACTGGGTAACAGGCAGAAGTTAGAAAGTTTGGAGGGCTCAGAAGACAGGAAAATGTGGGAAAGTTTGGAACTTCCTAAAGACTTGTTGAATGGCTTTCACCAAAATGCTGATAATGATATGGACAATGAAATCCAGGTTGAGATGTTCTCGGATGGAGATGAGGAACTTATTAAGAACTGGAGCAAAGGTGACTCTTTTTATATTTTGGCAAAGAGACTGGTGGCGTTTTGCCCCGACCTTAGAGATTTGTGGAACTTTGAAACTGAGAGAGATAATTTAGGGTATCTGGCAGAAGAAATTTCTAAGCAGCTAAGCATTCAGGAGATGACTTGGGTGCTGTTAAAGGCATTCAGTTTTAAAAGGGAAGCAGAGCATAAAAGGTCACATAATTTGCAGCCTGACAATGCAACAGAAAAGAAAATCCCACTTTCTGAGGAGAACTTCAAGCCAGCTGCAGAAATTTGCATAAGTAATGAAGACCTCAATACTAATCTCCAAGACAATGGTGTGGCAGCACCTTCCATCACAGGCCCAGAGGTTTAAGAGAAAAAAATGGTTTTCTGGGCCAGGTCCAGGGTCCCTCTGCTGTGTGCAGTCTAGGGACTTGGTGCCCTGTGTCCCTGCCACTCCAGCCATGACTAAAATGGGCCAAGGTACAGCTCAGGCTGTTGCTTCAGAGGGTGGAAGTCCCAAGCCTTGGCAGCTTCCACATAGTGTTGAGCTTGCAGATGCACAGAAGTCAAGAATTGAAGTTTGGGAACCTTTGCCTAGATTTCAGAGGATGTATGGAAACGCCTAGATGCCAAGGCAGAAGTTTGCTGCAGGGGCAAGGCCCTCATGGAGAAACTCTGCTAGGGCAGTGTGGAAGGGAAATGTGGGATTGGAGCCCCTACACAGAGTCCCTACGGGGGCACTGCCCGGTGGAGCTGTGAGAAGAAGGCCACTATCCTCCAGACCCCAGAATGGTAGATCCCCGAACAGCTTGCACTGTGCACCTGGAAAAGCTGCAGATACTCAACGCCAGCCTGTGAAAGCAGTCAGAAAGGAGGCTGTATCATGCAAAGCCACAGGAGTAGAGCTGCCCAAGGTCATGCGAACCCACCACTTGCATCAGCGTGACCTGGATGTGTGACATGGAGTCAAAGGAGATCATTTTGGAGCTTTAAGATTTGACCGCTCCACAGGATTTCGGACTTGCATGGAGCCTGTAGCCCCTTTGTTTTGCCCAATTTCTCTGATTTGGAATGGCTGTATTTACCTGATGCCTGTACCCCCACTGTGTCTAGGGAGTAACTAACTTGCTTTTGATTTTACAGGCTCATAGGTAGTAGGGACTTTCCTTGTCTCAGATAAGACTTTGGACTGTGGACTTTTGAGTTAATGCTGAAATGACTTAAGACTTTAGGGGACTGTTTGGAAGGCATGATTGGTTTTGAAATGTGAGGACCTGAGATTTGGGAGGAGCCAGGGGTGGAATGATATGGTTTGGCTGTGTCCCCACTCAATCTCATCTTGAATTCCCACGTGTTGTGGGAGGGACCCAGTGGGAGGTAACTGAATCATGGGGTCAGGTCTTTCCCATGCTGTTGTCATGATAGTGAATAAGTCTCATGAGATCTGATGGTTTTATAAGGGACAGTTTCCCTGCACTAGCTTTTTCTTTGCCTGTTGCCATCCACATAAGATATGACTTGCTCCTCTTTGTCTTCCACTATGATTGTGAGGCCCTCCCAGCCATGTGGAACTATAAGTCCTATAAACCTCTTTCTTTTGTAAATTGCCCAGTCTCGGGTATGTCTTTATCAGCAGTGTGAAAATGGACTAATATAGGATGTATGGAAGGGGAATAATTAGAGGAATGTGTTCACACAGTTGTAGAAGCCAGGAAGTCTCCATATACAAGTTGGAAAACTAGGGATGCCATTAGCATGGCTCAGTCCAAGTCTGGAGGCCTCAGAACCAGCAAATTCTATGATGTAAGCCAGAAGTTCAGAAAGCACAAAACATTCACCTTACTGAAAGCTAGGGTGAAAGCACTTCCAACAACTGAAATAATGCTTGGAGAGTGCAAACCCAACACAGATTAGGCCATTTTCTTGCTAAGAATGTTGGAGTGGATAAAAGCCTTGCACGGGTGAGGCAGTGGAAGAGTTTTACCCTCTGAGCAGGTGATACAGGGACACATCTGCAGATATTTCTTCTTCTCTTCAGTTTTGTTTATAATAGTCCATATATATTCATATATATCACATACAAATCTCCATCATCAGGAGTCTGTGGTTTATTTAGATGAAGAAATACTACATAGAAACAAAAAAGAACAAACCACTGACAGACAAAACTATATGCATGAACTTTAGAAACATACCGAATAAAAAGAAAAGGCCCAAAGGGTACATATTGTACAATTTATAGGCAAAAAAAAAAAAACAGGCAAAGCTAATCTTTATTGGTGGAAATCACAATATTGCTTGCCCTGGAAGGTGTTCTAGAACAAGAATAAAACCAAATAAAAGCTAATCTTATTATGATCACATTCTAGCATTTCTAAATAATGATAGTGGGAAAACAACCTTCCTCAATAAACTCTTTCATTGGTCTAAGTTTTAAACTTCACTTTGTTTAAAGTTTTCAAAGTATGTAAGATTAATTCTACAGCTACACAAAACACAACTTCATTAAAAAATGGACAGTTACAGGCCTGGTGTCTCAGGCCTGCAATCCTAGCACTTTGGGAAGCCGAGGTGGGTAGATTGCTTGAGCTCAGGAGTTTGAGACCAGCCTGGGCAACATAGTGAATCCCCGTCTCTACCAAAAGTACAAAATTTGGCCAGGCGCGGTGGCTCACGCCTGTAATCCCAGCACTTTGGGAGGCCGAGGTGGGCAGATCACGAGGTCAGGAGATTGAGACCATCCTGGCTAACACCGTGAAACCCTGTCTCTACTAAAAATACAAAAAAATTAGCCGGGCGTGGTGGCGGGCACCTGTAGTCCCAGCTACTCGGGAGGTTGAGGCAGGAGAATGGCGTGAACCCGGGAGGCGGAGCTTGCAGTGAGCCGAGATAGCGCCACTGCACTCCAGCCTGGGTGACAGAGTGAGACTCCGCCTCAAAAGAAAAAAAAATTAACCAGACGTGGTGGCGGGCACCTGTAGTCCCTGCTACTCGGGAGGCTGAGGCAGGAGAATGGCGTGAACCCGGGAGGTGGAGCTTGCAGTGAGCCAAGATCACACCACTGCACTCCAGCCTGGGCGACAGAGAGAGACTCCATCTCAAAAAAAAAAAAAAAGTACAAAATGTAGCCGGGGATGATGGTGTGCACCTGTAGACCCAGCTACTTGAGAGAATGAGGTAGGAGGATAGCTTGAGCCCAGAAAGAGGAGTTGCAGTGAGCCAAGAATGCTCCACTGCATTCTAGCCTGAGCGGCAGAGCAAGACCTTGTCTCAAATAAATAAATAAATAAATAAAGGACAAACGACTTAAATAAACATTTCTTCAGGGAAGTTATACAAATGGCCAATTGGTACATGAAAAGATGCCAAAATCACTAATCATTAGGGAAATGCAAGACCAAACCACAATCAGATAATCACTTCAAACCCCTTAGCATGGCTATTGTGGGAGAATTTATAAACAACGAGTGTTTGCGAGGATGTGGAGAAATTGGAGTCCCCATGAACTGCTGATGGGAAGGAAAAATGATGCAGCTGCTGTGGAAAACAGTTTGGTAGTTCCCCAAAAAGTTAACCATAGAGTTACCATGTGTTCCAGAAACCCCACTCCCAGGTACATACTCAAAATAATTGAGAGCAGGGCTCAAACAGATATTTGTACACAAATGTTCATCGCAGCACTATTTACAGTAGTCAAAGGTAGAAACAACCCAAGTATTCATCAACAGATGAATGGATAAATAGAATGCAGTATATGCATACAATGGAATATTATTCAGCTATGAAGTGGATGAAATTCTGATATAGGCTATGACATGGATGATGAACCTTGAAAATATTATGCCACATGAAGTAAACCAGACCCAGTAAAACAGATATTGTATGATTCCACTTACTTGAAATGCCTAGAATGAACAACTTCATAGAGATAGAAAATAGAATAGAGGTTACCAGAAGGCTTAGTTATATAGTTGGCCCCTGACCCTGACTGATATAGTTACTACTGTTTTGTAGTTAAGCTCTTCAGGGTTTGGAATTTTTTGAGTTCACTTCCAGTGCACATCTAATCTTCAATCTCGATACTAATGTATGTAATATGCATATTTTATTTTTAAACAGTTAATTCAAAATAAACAATAATTCATGAAAATGGTAAAGACACAATTGGATGTATTTGTTTTTGTGTATAAAAAGTGAAAGTGTGAACTCCGAGGTACAAAGTTTTGCTTGAGAAGTCTGAAATTTTACTATATTTGTACATAAAATATTTTATTCATTTTGAACATTTTCAAAAGTGAAACAATTTTCATTTCTTTAGTTTTAAAACTACAGACCAAATAAAGAAATTAACATGTTACGTTAGCTGTGTAATTGAATGGTTGCTTACATTGTTCCTATTGCACATGTTGGCTTTCTTAAAAGTCTCTTATGTTTTGTAGTGATTGTAAATAAAAAAGATCAGTGAAGAAAACATCACACTTTTCTGAACATTATTACTATTTTCTTTAATTTATGAATATTTTTAAAGGTTTGTTCTATTAGAGAGTGCTTGTTATAAAAACACTCCTCCCTAGGTTTAGACCACATTTAGATCGACCATCCCTCTAGTCAAACCATTAGCCACAGCCTGTGAATTGGCATACATTCACACATTTGTCCATTTCTTCTTCAAAGCAAAATGAAAAATCTCATGCCCTGCTCCAAGTTCTGCTCACTGAGAAGATTGTCCCTTCAGAAATATCCTTCAGAGAAGTCCTAGAAAGGGGCAATAGTGCTGCAGCTGTCCATATTCTGGTGGTGCCTGTATATCACGCAGAACCATTGTAAACCAGGCCTGAGTTTTCTCTTTCTCAGTTAATTGATCATATGGAATCACCCATGAGGACATCGGTGTGAGCTTGGAGTGAAAAGACAATATAACAGGAAAAAAAAGGCAGACAATGAAACAGGAGTGGGGACCATGGACATTTGGGCCACTACTGCATGTAACTTACTTGTGCCTTCAGAGCTGGTTGAGCCTGATCTCATATATACCATTTCCATTTGATGATGCAGTGCTGGGTTTGGTTTCCAGCAATATAAATTCTGTGGCTACAAGAGGTAAAGGTTTCTTTCACAGCAGACTTAGAATCTTTCATGTAATTTATGTGACACTTGAGCTGTTTTGAAGACTTTGGTTCACACTTTTCATTCTCCACTTTGTCAAATGCAGTTAGGAGCAAGCAGCCAATCTCATTACACTTGTTAGTTTGACAAAATGTTTTATAACATATCAAATACATAGTCACCTAGAACCTTACATCTTCTAAGTATTTTTTAGGAGTACCCAGTGGTAATTTTGAGAAGTAATTACAGAAACCCCAGAACCAATTCCTAAAACTCATCCCTAAAATTCTGTTCCTCTTGAACCATTCTCAGTACCAACATGTATATCAGTCAGGGCTCTCCAGAGAAACAGAATCAATAGGATGGATAAATAGATAGATAAATAGATGTATGTATATATATATCATATTATGTATGTGTATATATATCATATTATATATGTGTATATATATCCTATTACATACATTCTATTTTATATATAGATACAGATATATTACTTATAGGGATTCTATATATACGTAATATATGTGTATATATAAAAAATACATATTATCTCCCTAGATATAGATATATCTTTATATAAATATCTATCTATCATCTATTGAGAGATTTTTTTTAAAATTGGATTATATGACTCTGGAGGCTGGCAAATCTGAAACTTAAAGGGAAGACTCAAAGAAGCTGGAAATTCAAATGAGAGTTGATGTTGCAGTCTTGAATCCATAGGGCAATCAATCAGGCTGGAAACTCAGGAATGATTTCTGTGTTGCCTTTAAGAGGCAGAATTCCTTCTTCTCCAGGAAACATTGGTTTTAGCTCCTAAGGCCTTCAACTAATTGGGTGAGGACCACCAATACAATTGAGGGTAATCTGCTTTTCTTAAAGCAATATCTAGACTAGTATTTGACCAAAATAGCTGGTCACCATAGCTTAGCCAAAAGTTAGCCTATGAAAGTAATCACATAAGGCTATTCTAATTATCTGTTTCTTAAGTGAGGCTTTTTAAGGTTGTATCTTTCAAGAAATTTGTTTATTTCTTTTAAGTACTTGAATTTGTTGGTATAACATTATATATAATATTCCCTTATTCTCTTTATGTAAAATATGTAGTGATATGCCCTCTCTCATTTCTGGTATTTGTAATTTGTGTCTTCTATTTTTCCTTATCAGTCTGACTAGAAGTTTATCAATTTTGCTAATCTTTTCAAAGAACCAGCTTTTGGCTTTATTGATTTTGTTTTCTATTCACTGACATTGATTTGAGACCTTTGTTCTTTTCTAATGTAGCTGTTTAGAATAATAAGTTTGCCTCTAAATATTGTTTTATATGCATTCCACAAATTTTGACATGTTTCCAATTTCCCTTTTGACTTTTTCTTTTACCTATGGGTTATTCAGAAATGTGCTTTTAAATTCCAAATATTTTGAACTTTCCAAATGTATTATTCTGCTGCTTTCTATTTTAATTCCACTGTGGTCAGAGAAAATACTTTTCATGATTTGTAGAAACTTATTTTATAGGTGAGAATATAACCAATCTTGGTAAATATTGTGTGTAAAATTGAATAAAATGTTTATCCTTACATTGTTTTATTGAGTGTTCTGTAAATGTCAATAAGGTTACGTTGATTGATAGTGTTATTGTCTACATCCTTACTTAAGATTTTATCCATAGTTTTTCTACCTATTATTGAGAAAGAGGTACTGAAATCTCTGACTATAATTTTGATTTTTTCTATTTTCTATCCTTGCAGTTACTTCGATTTTTGATTCATGTATTTAGAAGCTCTGCTAATTTAATATTATTATATGTTCTTAATGAATTGAGCCTTTATCATTATAAAATAATGATTTTCTCTGTTGCTATAATTTGCTCTTAAACCTATTCTGTCATATGTTAGTATAGCCATTTATTTATTTTTATTTTTTGCTTAGTTTTAGCATCCTTTTACTTTTTGCTATATACGTCTTTATATTTCATGTGGATTTCTTGTGGGCAACATATAGTTGGATCTCGCTTTTTAATCAATCTGACAGTCTCTGCCTTGTAATGGGTGTGTTCAGACGACTTACATTTAATGTGATTGTTGATATAGTTGAGTTTAAATCTATCAGTTTACTCTATGTTTTTTAACTGTCTTTTGTGTTCTTTATTCTCTTTTCCTCTTTTTATGCCTTCTTTTGGATTAAAAATAGACAATTTTTTGTATTGCATTTTATCTCTTCTTTTGGTTTATTAGCTTTGTCAAGTACTTTACTGTTTTATAATAATAGTTGCTTAACAATTTATAGTATGCGTCTTTAACTGTTCATTGTCTACCGTCAAAATATATTATACCACTTTATGTTTGTTATAAAAATATTACAAATATAAAAGTACACATGCTATTTATATATTATATATATATATATAAAACCTTTAATTAAAAAGAGAAGCTTACAAAAAATGTATAGGCAATACATTTTTTAAAAATTAACCTAAGAAATAGAAATAAAGGATAACATCAAAGTGTTGATCTCTGGACTTACATATGTTTATTAATTTGAACCCTATGAAATTGCCATTTCAATAGATCAAAAAATGTTCAAATATCCAGTATATTTTTTATCTCAGAGAAAGTTTTCACCTCTATAAGTTCATTTTGGCTTTTTAAAATATCTTCCATGTCTTTTACTTTTTTCTTCTAGCTTCTGGAACATACACAATAAATTTACAATAACTGTTTAAATATTTTGTTCATTAATTATGTCATCTGTGTTATCTCTGGGCTGGTTACAATCAAGTTATTTTTTCTTCATTATGGGTCATATTTTTCCTGTTCTTTACATTTTCAGAAACATTTTGTTGTACTCTAAACATTGTGAATTTTAACTTGGTGCGTGCTGGATATAAATACATAAATTTCTGTAAATATTATTTTGCTTTGTTTTGGGACAAAATTGATTTGCCAAGAAGCAGCTTGACACTTTAGAGTATTACATATAATCTTTGTTAGGTGAGACCAGAGTGGTATTTAGTTTAGGGCTAATTTCCCACTACTCCTGATGCAAAACCCTCTACCTTGTGTGCTATAGAATACTTTGTCCACTACACCCAGCCCTGTTTGAAACTTGGGATTGTTCTTAATCTTCTTGAGTAGTCCTTTCCTTTACCTAGGCGAGTTTCCTCACATGCATTCAAAATACTCTGCTGAATATTTAAGAGGGACACTGCAGATCTCTGAAGCTCTTTCTGTGCATCTTGTTCTTCTCTGGTGCTCTTCCATGTGAACTCTAGCCACCTTGGCCTCCCTGGACTCCCAGTTTTGTCTCTTCAACTCAGAGTGAGCCACAAGGACCCTCCTGAGTTTCTTTTTCCTATCCCACAGCCAAAAAACTCTCACCATCCAGTAAGCTGGGGTCCTCTTAAGTCTCATCTTGTTTGTGCTCTCTCACAGGGATAACTGTTGTTCATTATCTGATATCTAATGCTTTGAAAACCAATTTTTTTTTTTTTTTGTCTATCGTTTTAGTTGTTATGGGCAAGAGGGTAAAAACAGCTCTTTTTACTACATCGTTGTCAGTGAAAGCATTTCCCTTGCAGTGATTTTATAGATAACCAACATATTTATTAAATCCCTTACCGGCCGGGCGCGGTGGCTCACGCCTGTAATCCCAGCACTTTGGGAGGCCGAGGCGGGCGGATCACGAGGTCAGGAGATCGAGACCACCCTGGCTAACACGGTGAAACCCAGTCTGTACTAAAAATATTAAAAAATTAGCCGAGCGTGGTGGTGGGCACCTGTAGTCCCAGCTACTCGGGAGGCTGAGGCAGGTGAATGGTGTGAACCCAGGAGGCGGAGCTTGCAGTGAGCCAAGATGGCGCCACTGCACTCCAGCCTGGGCGACAGAGCGAGACTCCATCTCAATAAATAAATAAATAAATAAATAAATAAGTCCCTTCCCATTTGAAAAACTTAAAATTGTTTGTTTTATTATTGAGCACTGGCTGTACACATGCCTAGAGTTTCAAATAAGTGATTTAATAACAGAAAGGGAAGTTAACGTTTATTTAATAATTACTAATTGCTAGGCAAATTGTGCACTTAGAAATCACTCAGCTATTATTAAATACTAAATATTATTAAATATTAAATCAAATCAAATACTAAATACTGTCTCTATTAAATACTAAATACTATTAAATATTAAATCAAATGATGTAAGTAATATTGAGACTTATTTGATAAGTCTCTTTACGATACTTATCAAATCATGAAGCAACTATTATTAAAAAACCATAAGTACTTAATAAAGCTAATAAACCACAAGAGGAGATTAAATGGAATACTAAAAATTGTCTATTTTTCATCCAAAAGAAGGCATAGATAGAGAAAAAGAGAATGAAGAACCAAGAGATAGCAAAGAAAAAAAATAGTAAACTGGTAGATTTAAATTTTTATCAAATAAGTCTCAAAATCACTTGTATTTTACTGCTCCTAAAAATATACATTATTAAGTTGTATTCATTCCAAATGTTATAATACAGATATATAAGGATGGATTGCAGGGAATATGGTGCTGATGCTAAACCAGGACCCAAACAAGTTCTGAAAGCTGAACATTTAAACAATGGATCTTTGATATTTAGTGGCTAAATAATTATGAATTATCTCAGTGACAATTTACATAGATTGAGTCCCTACATTACTTAGATTGCCTTATATTTAGAATACTTTTAAAAGGAGAGTATCACAGAACTACAGAATCTGATCATAAAAGTGGATTTTTATTTTTTAAGTTGAATTTCAAATTACAAACATAATATGAGATTAAAAAATACTTTGAAAATACAGAAAAGTTGAAAGAAGAAAATTAAGATAACCAATAATTCCATCACCTATTCTGACAAAATTCTCATAATCCACTTTATATTTAGTCAGTACTTATCTAAAAAAGTACTTATCTTTAACTGTGTGTATCTGTGTGCGTGATTATGTTTTTCATAAAATTGTGTTGATACTGTAAATATTTGTAGTGTGCTTTTATGAATTATGAGGTTTTATACTTTTTATATCATTTAAAATGTAGTGTTTGAGAAAATATAGTCTTGTTATTTATGTATTTGCTTAGATTTTCATATAGAAATCCTCATACTATTTTATACCACAATCTTTTTGGTCTACCCTAAGATGATACCCCTGTATTTATTAAAAGTTCCTTATAAAAACATTACTTTTATTTTTTGAAATAATGGCACAGCCAGTGGTGTGCAAGAGTGCTTTTATACTGCTTTGCAAGAGCTGGGTATTAACTTTTCTTTCTAATTCTGTAGTTATCAATGTTACAGTGGTTGCTTGCGTTCAGCCATGGGAGTATTTACAACACAAAAATAAGAAAATGGTACCAATTAGGACCTTTTTTTTTCTGGAGAACCAGTTATTAGACATTTACTAGCCTACCTCTGGGTGTGGTCATGCTATAGAATTCTATGCTTTTAAATGAAAATGTAAATAGATAAGAAAAGAGTTAAATCATAGAACAATATGTATATTATATTCCTATTTTCATTAATGAGAAATCTACATAGTGTTTATATATTTGCATAGGCAAAGAAAAATGTCTTTAAGGACTAGTTACCTTTGAGAAACATGCCTAAGGAGAAATGTGAATTTTTTTTTGTTTTTTTTTTTTGAGACGGAGTCTCGCTCTGTGCCCAGGCTGGAGTGCAGTGGCGCAATCTCGGCTCACTGCAAGCTCCGCCTCCCGGGTTCACGCCATTCTTCTGCCTCAGCCTCCCTAGTAGCTGGCACTACAGGCGCCCACCACCACGCCTGGCTAATTTTTTGTATTTTTAGTAGAGATGGGGTTTCACCGTGTTAGCCAGGATGGTCTCCATCTCCTGACCTCGTGATCCACCCGCCTTGGCCTCCCAAAGTGTTGGGGTTACAGGTGTGAGCCACCGCGCCCGGGCAAGTAATGTGAATTTTTTTAAAAATTTGTACACATTTTATTCTTCTAGACCTTTATAATGAACGTGTTTTACTTTTGTCATTAACATCCATATTAAAATTAATTCATATTTCTTCAAGGAAATAAATTTATTGTATAGATACTCTCTTGAAAAACTTAACAATAACCATAATGGAAATAACTTACTTACTGCTTATGATGTATCAGATGTGCATTGTTCTAGGTAGTTTTATTCATTAATGCCCACAAATGCTGTATGATTTGGATTTTATTGTCTTCATTTTGCAGAAGGATCAACTTAGGCAGACAGAAATTATGTTATCTTGTCCATAATCAAACAGCTAATACGTGTGTGAATGTATGATTTTAAAGCCGTGTTCCCCTCATTCTTTAACTGAGAGGAGAGCTCCTCTTGGTTGTACCGCAAGTTCCATTTTGGAATGATAAGAAGATCTTAAAGTATTGGAAGAATGATAATTGTTGCTATATGCTGGATGGCTAGGTTGAAGAGGGGTAGAGTTAGGAATGGTGCTGTCATTGATTAATGCTAAGTGTAAGAGAAATTTGAAAGATAAATTAAGAGGGTTGATGCAGAGGAGATTATTTGAAAACAGGGACCATCTGTAATTCTTGATAAGAAAAGGATAAAGTTGGCATATTAGTCCATTCTCACACTGCTATAAAGAACTACCTGAGATTGGGTAATTTATGAAGAGAAAAGGTTTAATTGACCTACAGTACTACAGGCTGTACAGAAAGCATGACTGGGGAGGCCTCAGGAACCTTACAATCATGGCAGTAGGACGAATGGGAAGCAAGCACCTTCTTCACATGGTGGAGCGGCAGAGAAAGAAGAAGCTAAGGCAGAAGTGTTACACACTTTTCAAGATCCAGATCTCATGAGACTCACTCATTATCATGAGAACAGCAAGGGGGAAATCTTCCCCCATGAGCTTATCACCTCACCTCCCACTAGGTCCTTCCCCCAACATTGGGAATTACAATTCGACATGAGATTTGGATGCGGACAGAGAGCCAAATCATATCAGTTGGAAAGGGGCTAGAAGCAAAATTACATGACAAAAATGATGACTTGGCATATGGGTGGTATTAGGACAGCAGGGTTTTGAGTAGGTGACCAGAGAGACTGTTATAAATCAGACCCACAATTCTGTGCCAGTACATGACAAACACTCGTGTAAAAATCTCTTTGTGATGAGATGAACAGTTTCATTCCTAAGTGTGTTCCTTATGTTTATAGGCTGTTAGAAATGGAAAATTAGGCAAATCTGTTACTCTTATATATTTATACACAATCAGATTATGTTCATTGGTCAAAACTTAACAATACATGTCTAGAGTTACTTTTAATCGCTCCCAGATCCAAAAGAATCAAGAATTGGTGAGTAATTAGTTGAAGAAAAATTAGAACGGTATTCTTTGGAACATAATTCTCCGAAGAAATTCTTTGAGGCAATTGTCCAGACTCCAAATGCAATAAGCAAAGCAATTCTATTACCTGAGAGCATACATATAGCTACGTGACTTTGGTCGAAGAGCTTCATCTTGCTGTGTCTCAGCTTTCTCATGTGTAAACCAGAGGATCTAAAACACTTTAATAAATCGATGTGAACATTCGATAAAGATGCACTTATTATTAGATTGACAAAAATTAGGAAGCTGGATAATGCCAAATCCAGGCTTAGATGTTACAAAATTGCACTGTTGATGGGAATGTCGACTGGTGCAGCCACTCTGGAGAGTAATTTGGTGTCAGTCAGTCAATTAAATATATGTATATCTTTAAACTCAACAATTCTTCTTTTTACAATCCTTTTTTGTTTTGTTTTGTTTTAACATTTATCTTAGGTTCAAGGGTACATGTGCAGGCTTGTTAAATAGGTAAATTGTGTGTTGCTAGGGGATGGTGTACGGATTATTTTGTCACCCAGGTAATAGCAGTTTGGAGCCTGATAGGTAGTTTTTCAATCCTTACCCTTCTTTCTCTCTCCAACCTCAACCAGGCCCTGCTGTTTGTTGTTCCCTTTTTTGTGATCATATGTACTTAATAAAACCCAAAAAAATCTCTTTGTGAAGATTTGTCCCAAAGAAATTTTCACACAGGTCGATACATTTTCGTATAATATCCACGTTATGGATAAAAATATAACTGTGATTAAAAAACACAACTATTGCTGAGGATTGTACCTGAAATCATTTCCATGTGACATTGGAAACCCCCTTTCAGTTTCACATTATAACTGCTTAACATGAGATACTTCCTGCTCTTGTTAACACTTAAAGACAAGGTATGTATATTATTTGGAACCAAATTTTTCCAAATAGCTTTAGAGTATGCAATAATCAATTTGTTATTAACTTTGATTTTGAATTGCTTTTAATAGGTCAAAAGGCCATTCAGTTAAAGAAACTGAAAACTTTTTCATAACACCTGCTCAGTGCTAGGCCCTCTGCTGGGGCTTGCAGATAAATTCATCAGACAGATTGCCTGACCTCAAGAAATCCACAGGGCCTCAGAAAACATTTTAGAAACGACCAAAAACAACTTCATTTTTCACCCATCAGCATCAAAAGAGAAGTTCAGTTCAGATTTTAAGTCAATGATATGGTATCTTTTGTCTGGACTGAAGCTCTCTAATTAAATCTTTCTGGTGCTTTAACTCCAGGGAAAGCCACTTGATGATTCCAAGTCAGTCATTGAATGTGATTTCAAATCAATAAGACTGAAAGACACCCTGGGTGTGCTGTCCTTTCAAAGGAAGTGGGAGTATTTTCATGCCTTGTTTACAGAAAATCGATTACCTAAACAGCTGCCAGGATGATGTGGACAGAGAGCTTATGCCCAGGGATAGACCAGTGCTGTTATTCCTGCTCTGCATACATTATAATTATTTAACCCTATTACACCTTAATCTTTTGTTATAGGAACTACTGAAATGTTTGCTGTTATAGGAGAAGGCAACAGATTTCTATGCCTGGAGAGCTGAGATTGTTCCCCCAAAGAACCCTGGTATATATTTAAACATGGATGGATAAATTACCAAATCCCAGGAAGAATTAAGCACACTTAGAGGTAAAAAGAAATCCAAGGATACACAGTGTTAAAAAAAAAGAAAAATAGAAATGTTAAAAGAAGCCATAAACAGGGAAAATATATATCTAAATGAAACAACCCCAAAAAACAAGATCCTCTTGGTTCTTATCCTCATGGTTCCTTGTGAAAAGGATAGCATATTATGCTTTAGATACATCACTTCCTATTTCAAAAGATATCACTTGCTCTTTAGCACTTACAAAATATAGTGCAAACTCTTTTCAATTTACTAAATTGAAAATTTAATTTCATAGGTGACTAAAGGTCACCTATGAACAGGCTCCAACTTACCTTTCTAGCCACATTCCTAAAAATCTCTATTTAAAACAACGTATACTGCACAAAAAATGACTACTTCCATGATTTTGTCTAAGTACCCCTGTTTTCCTCTTTGTCTGTATGCATGCTATTCTCTATGACCCCAATTCTAACATCCTTCAAAACCAGCCTAATTGCCACTTCCCAAATTTCTTTTCTCAATTATCCCATCAAGTATAATTTTCCTAATCTCTCTACAAATTTATTTTACTGTTGTCTACATGCTGCTTTTGTAATAGTTATTTGAATATACGGCTTATCAAAAATGCATGCCAGAGAGGTAAGTTCACTGGAAATAACAGTGTGATGCGACGTCAGGGTACGTTATCAGTAGTAGAGTTATCTAGAATTATAAAGTGAGAGGACCACTCTATTCTGCCAACTATGTCTAAATATATGTTTTGAAACTATAATGATAATGTAGATAAACTGTAGAGTAAGAGGTAGAAGGAATTTAAACCAGACTCTTTTTCATCAGAATTCAAGAGGAATTCTATGTCCTTTTAAAAGACCACTTCTTTGCAGAATACCATTGGCAGAGGTCAAGAGAGTATCCATAGACTCAGAATAAAATCACCATACTGCTGGCCTAGAACCCTTCCTCAGCAGAGGTCAAAAGGCAGTTTATGAACAGAGAGTAAGATGACCTCTCTACAGGACTCCGCATATTAATTCTTTACCAGGGATCAAATTGGAGGCCTAGAAATCTGCAGGCTTGAGGCAGGGCCCTTTACCCCAGTGTGCTCTCTACAGGCTTGGCACTCCTCTCTGCGTGAGATTATCATTATTAAATCCCATTCTTCTTTCTTTTCAACAAATAATGTTGAGGAAAACTGTATAGACACATGCAAAAGGATAAAATTGGAACCTTATATTACACTATGTACAAAAATCACCTCAAATGGATTAAATATTTAAACACAAGGCCTGAAACTATAAAACTGGAAGAAAGCATGGAGGAAAATCTTCACGACATTGAGCCTGGAAATAATTTATTAAATAAGACACCAAAAGCACGAGTTACAAAAGCAAAACTATACAAGTGGGACTACCTCAAAATAAAAAGTGCAGCAAAAGGAACAATGAACAGAATAATAAGACAACCCATGGAGTGGGAAAAATATTTGCAAACCATACATATGAAAAAAGATTGTTTTCCAAAATATATAAGAAACTCCTACAATTCCATAGCAAAGAAACAAATAATTCGATTAAAACATAGACAAAGGACTTGAGTAAACATTTCTCCAAAGACATACAAGTGGCCAACGGGTATATGAAAAGATGCCCAAGGTCACTAATTATCAAGGAAATGCAAATCAAAGTGACAGTGAGTTAGTATACTCTCTCTTCTGTTTGGATGGCCATTATCAAACAGTAAATGACAAATATCCATGAGGATGTGGAGAAATTGGAACTTTTGTGCACTGTTGGTAGAAATGCAAAATGATGCAACTGCTGTGGAAAATATTATGGAGGCTCCTAAAAAAAAAACCAAAAATAAAATTACCAGGCCAGGGATGGTGGCTCATGCCTGTAATTCCAGCACTTTGGGAGGCTGAGGTGGGAAAATTGCTTGAGCTCAGGAGTTGAAAACCAGCCTGGGCATCATAGGAAGACCTTGTCTCTACAAATTTTGTTTTAATTAGCTGGATGTTATGGCGGGTTCCTGTAGTACCAGCTACTCAGGAGGCTGAAGTGGAAGGACTGCTTGAGCCCAGGAGGTCAAGGCTGCCTTGTGCTATGATCACACCATGGCACTCCAGTTTGGGTGACAAAGTGATACCCTGTCTTTCCAAATATATGTACTGTATTAGTCCATTTTCACAATGCTACAAAGAACTACCTGAGAATGTGTAATTTATATAGAAAAAAGGTTTAATTGACTCACAGTTCCACATGGCTGAGAATACCTCAGGAAACTTAACAATCATGGTGGAAGCTGAAGGGGAAGCAAGGCACATTTTACATGGTGGCAGGAGGAGGGGGAAGTGCCACACTTTAAAATCATCAGATTTCGTGAGAACTCACTCACTATCACAAGAACAGAATGGGAGAAACCTCCGTCATGATCCAATCACCTTCCACCAGTTCCCTCCCTTGACACTTGGGGATTACAATTCAAAATGAGATTTTGGTGGGGACACAGAGCCAAACCATATTATATAGCATATATCACATGATCCATCAATTCCACTTTGGGGTATTTGTATTAGGCTCTTGCACTTCTATAAAGAAATATCTGAGACTGGGTAGTTTATAAGAAAATAGGTTTAACTGTCTCATGGTTCTGCAGGCTGTACAGGAAACATAACATTGACATCTGCTTCTAAGGAGGGCTCAGGAAGCTTACAATCATGGCAAAAGGCAAAGGGGGAGGAGATATATCACACAGTGGGACCAGGAGCAAGAGAGTGAGGTGGGAAGTGTCTCAAAACAGTAGGAGCCAGGTATGACAAATATCCACAACCAATATCATATGGAATGGGCAAAAGTTGGAAGCATTTCCCTTGAAAACCAACACAAGACAAGGATGCTCTCTCTCACCTTTCTCATTAAACATAGTATTGGAATTTCTGGCCAGGGCAATCAGGCAAGAGAAAGAAATCAAGGGTACTGAGATAGGAAGAGAGAGGTCAAATTGTCTTTGTTTGCAAATGGCATCCTATATGTAGAAAACCCCATCATCTCAGCCCAAAAGCTTCTTAACCTGATAAGCAACTTCAGCAAAGTCTCAGGATATAAAACCAATGTGAAAAAATTGCTCTCATTTCTATACACCAAAAACAGGCAAGCAGAGAGCCAAATCATAAATAAACTCCCACTTGGAATTGCTACAAAAAATACAATACCTACAAATAAAGCTGACAAGGTAAGTTAAGGAACTCTTAAAGGAGAGCTACAAACCACTGCTCAAAGAAATCAGAGAGGACAGAAACAAATAGAAAAGCATTCTACGGTTGTGGATAGACAGAATTAATATCATGAAAATGGCCATACTGTCCAATGTAATTTATAGATTCAATGCTATTGTCATTAAATTACCATTGACATTCTTCACAGAATTCGAGGAAACTATTTTAAAATTCATATGGAACCAAAAAAGATCTCAAATAGCCAAGACAATCCTGAGGAAAAAGAACAAAGCTGCAGGCATCATGCTATCTGACTTCAAACTATACTACAAGGCTACAGTAACCAAAACAGCATGGTGCTGGTACAGGAACAAATACATATACCAAGGGAATTGAATAGAAAACCCATAAATAAGGCCGCACCTACAACTATCTGATCTTCAACAAACTTGACAAAAACAAGCAATGGGGAAAGGAATCCCTATTTAATACCTAGTGCTGGGAGTGCTGGCTAACTATATGCAGTAAATTAAAACTGTACCCCTTCCTTACACCATATACATAAATTAACTCAACATGGATTAGAGAGTTATATGCAAAGCCCCAAGCTATAAAAACCCTATAAGAAAATCTAGGCAATACCATTCAGGTCATAGGCACGGGCAAAGATTTCATGACTCAAATACCAAAAGCAATGGCAACAAAAGCAAAAATTTCTACCCCTATATCTTTTTTTAATTCCTCTTTAAGGCCAATAACTTTTAGATTTGCCCATTTGAGGCCATTTTCTGGATCCTATAGGCATGTTTCATTGTTTTTCACTCTTCTTTCTTTTGTCTCCTCTGAATGTTTATTTTCAAATAGGCTGTCTTCAAGCTCACTTATTCATTCTTCTGCTTGATCAGTTTTGCTACTAAAGGACTCAGGCAATCGTCAGTACGCCAGTTGCATTTTTCAGTTCTTGTAATTTCTTCTTGATTATTTTAAATTATTTCAATCTCTTTGTTAAATTTATGTGATAGAATTCTGAATACCTCCTCTGTGTTATCTTGAATTTCTTTGAGTTTCCTCAACACAGCTATTTTGAATTCTCCATCTGAAAGGTCACACATCTCTGTTTCTCCAGTATTGGTTCTGATGGCTTATATAGTTCATTTGGTGAGGTCATGTTTTGCTTGATGGTGTTGATGCTAGTAGATATTCTTCAGTGTCTGGGCATAGAAGAGTTAGGTATTTATTGTAGTCTTTACTATCTGAGCTTATTTGTACCCATCATTCTTGGGAAGGCTTTCCAGATATTTGAAAGGATTTGTGTGTTGTGATCTAAGCTGTAACTACTTTATGGGGTACCCCATGGCCAGTAACGCTGTGGTTCTTGTAGACTCATAGAGGTACTGCCTTGATGGTCTTGGGCAAAATCCTGGAGAATTCTCTGGATTATCAGGCAGAGACTCTTGTTCTCTTCCCTTACTTTCTCCCAAACATATGGAGTCTCTTTCTCTGTTCTGAACCACATAAATGTGGGGGGTGGAGAGACATAAGCAGCTTTATGGCCACCACCATGACTGAAGTTAGGCCAGGCCTGAAGCTAGTACAGCACTGGATCTCATCCAAGGCCTGCTATAACCACTCCCTGGTTACTACCTATGTTCGCTCAGGGCCCTGGGCCTCTAAAATCAGCAGATTACAAAGCCAGGCAGGCCTGTGTCCTTCCGTTCGGGGAGGCAAGATCCTCAGGCCCTGGTTGGTCCCAGAGCTGCTATCCAGTAGTCAGGGACTAAAAACACCTTCGAAGTCTACCTGGTTTTTTATTGTACTGAATTACTGAACTGGCATTCAAATCATACAATGCAGTTCTGCCCACTGTTCTCTCCCCTTTCTAAAGGCAGAGGAGCCTTACCCTGTAGCCACTGCCACCCCATGCCACAAGGAGTACCGCCAGACTACCAGGAATCTTCTCTAAATGTCCAAGGACTCTTAAGTCAGCTTGTGGTTAAGCTGCCTTGCCTAGGACTCAACATTCAGGACAGTGGGCTCCCATCTGGTCCTGGGCAGGTCCAGCAATGTTGTCCAAGAGTCAAGTCCTGGAATTGAGGACCTCAAGCATTCACTTGATGTTCTGTCCCCCTGTGGCCATGCTGGTACCTAAGGTGCAATACAAAGTCCGCCTGCTTTTTTCAAGCAGAAGGAGTTTTGTCCCTGTAGCCACCATAGCTGGTAATGTGCTGAGTCTCACCTGAAGCCAGCAGACCTCAGAGGCTAAACCAAGGCCCTCAATGTAGTACCTGGGTATTGCTGCTGGTTATTCAGGGCCCAAGGACTCAGATAGCAGATGATGAATGCTGCCAAGACTGGGTACTTCCCTTCAAGGCAGCCAGTTTCCTTCTAGCCCAGCTTGTATCTAGAAATGTCATCAGGGAGCTAGGGCCTGGAACAGGGGCCTTATGACTGACTGGTGCCCTATCCTGCTGTGGCTTAGCTGGTATCAAGGATGGAAGACAGTCTTCCCTACTCTTCTCTTTTCTAACTTCAAGTGGAAAAAGGAGGTCTTTTTGGAGCTGCTAACTCTGCAGTGTGGGGTTAGGGGAAGGGTGATGCCAGCACTCCTGTAACTGCTCCAGCTGGTTTCTCAGTAGGTTGTGTGCGCAACCAGTCCACTGTCTTTGGGCCTAGTTCAGCACTGGGACACACCTACGATTTGCAGTCCTTATGGCCTAGACTGCCTTTCGAGTTTACCTGGAGACACAGAGCACTGCAGCTCTTGGTGGCTAGGTTTGCAGGAACTCAAGTTCCAACTGCTGGGTTCTGTGATTCCCCTCTGGTAGGGCTGATTTAAATGCTCCCTCTGTGGGAGAGCAGCACTTGAGTTTGGTCCAGCTTTTCTTTCTGTTCTGATAGGATGGCACTGGGTTCAATGCCTCACAATTGCTGTGTTCTTCCTCCCCCAGTGCCCAAAGATGTTCACCACACTTGGTTGCTGGGGGATTAGGGAGGGATGGGCTCAGTGATGCGGGACATTTTTGGCTTTTTTTTTTTTTTTTTTTTTTTTAATCTCTTCAGTGAGAAGAGATCCACCAGCCTCGGCCTCCCAAAGTGCTGGGATTACAGGCATGAGCCGTTTTAAAGCAGTTTCTGCTAATTCTTCTACACTCCTCCCATCAAGAGGTGGAATCTAATTTCCCTCTCTTTGAATAGCACTGGCCTTATTGACTTACTACCAGTGAGGAAAATACTGCCGAAGTAATACGTGAGTTCCAAGGCTGATCAAAGGAGGTAATACTGCTTCTACCTGGCTTTCTTTCTTACGATGCTGATTCTTGGAATCCAGCCACCATGCAGCAAGAAAGCCAGGACACATTGAAAGCCCACTTGTGGGAGTTGCAGCTGACAGCTCCAGCAGACAATCAGCATTTGTTTCCAGACATGGCCGAGGCAGCCTCTGAGATGATTTCCACCTCAGCCACCATCTGACTGCAGCTACATGAGAGACCAGTGTGAGAAACACTGAGCAGAGCCCAGTCAAACGTGACACCTGTAAGAGATAATAATCCAATAAGTTCTGTTGCTTTAAGCCATTAAATGTTAGGGTGATTTGTTATACAGTAATAGATAACTGGAACACTACTTTTATCATCGTCACCAAATTTGCTGTCAGTTCTCTTCCTCATAATACTTGATTTATCAACAATATTTGATACTGTTGCTCACTTTCTTCTTCCTGAGATACTTTTCTTTCACTTGGTTTTCAAGCCAATGCATTGTCCTGATTATCTTTCAACACCTCTGGCTGCTCCTTCTTGGTTTCCTTTGCTATATACCTCACATATCACAGGCTTGTTAACATTGTTGCCTTAAAAACATAATCGTTGGACCTTTTCTCATTTATATCTATACTCACTCCTTTGGTGATTTCATCTAGGTGCAGGCTTTAAATATAATGTATATGCTGATGCTTCCCAAGTTTCTGTCTCCAGCCTAGTCTTCTCGCCCGAGTTCCATACTCGTCTCTACAAATTACTCTAAATCACCACTTAGATGACAAATGAGCCTGTCCAATTCAACATATTCAAATCTGAGCTACTGACATTTTCCCCTCAAACTACTTTTCTCTCAGTTTTACTCATATCAATAAGTGGCAATGATATTCTATCAATTTCTTAGGTTCAAAACTTCGGAGTCCCCCTTAACTGCTCTCTTTCTCTTACAAGCCATATTCAATACAGTGGTACGTATTGTTTGTTTTATCTTTAACATGTATCAGTATCCTACAATTTCGCACTGCCTCCAATGCTACCTTCATAATTCATGCCACCATTGTCTATCTGGATTATTGCCATAGCCTTCTCGCTGGTCTCCTTGCTCTCTCACAATCTATTGTCAACACAGTAGCCAGGTTGTGATCCTTGTAAACTGCAAGTCAACTCATGTCTCTTTTCTGGGTAGACGCATCTCACTTGGAAAAGAAGCCAAAGTTTTTATGATAACTTCTTGACGGACATAAAAACTGTCTTTTAATAATCCGAAGGGCAGTTGGGTAAAGAGAAATTAGATGTGCAAAATGCAGCTCCAAAAGAGGAAAATTCGGACCGCTGGCAGAAATTCCTGATACACAAACTAGGGGAAATGCGTAAGGAAAACTGCTTCCAAATTTTTCTACACACTACAGCTGGAGTGACATTTCTAACATGGAATTTTTTTCCATATCAGTCTTATGCTTAAAATTTATCATGAATCCGCATGACCTATGATAAAGTCCAAACTTCTTAGTCTACCAGAAGACAATAGAAGTAAGCTGAGGAAAAAAAGTGGTGAAAGGCCCTGAATGCAATGCTAGAAAGTTTAGACTTTAGGATGACAGGGAAACATTGAAGTGTCCTTAGTAGAGGAGTGACATTATCAGGTTTGTTTTCTAGCTTAATTCTCATGGTAGCATAAAGAATGGATTTGCACAGGGAGACACTGGGGGTAAGAACACTAAATAGATAAATATTTCAGACGTTTGGCCAAGAGCTGAGTATCACATGAACAAAAGCATTGTGGATATATTTGCAGGGTCCATTTGAGTTATGAAAATGAAATTGAAAATACTTGTTGACATACTAACAATGGATTAGATACACACACACACATATATATTACGTATATATACACATATATATATATGTGATAGATGATAGAGATAGATGGTAGAGACATGAACTGGTTTAGGCTAATATAAAAGAGAGATGGCTGTGGGGTAAGATTAATTAATTTACTTTTAGTTCCATTGAGTTTTAGTTGCCTCTGAGTAATTGGAGATGTCCAGCTAGCAGTTGAAAATATGACCTCAGATTTTAGAAGAAAATTCAGAATAGGAGTTACTGAAGTATAGCAAGAAGGTAAATCCATATGAGTTCAATAAATCATTCAAGGGAAACCATATAAAACAAAACAAAACAAAGAAGAGACTACAGCAAAAACAGAACAAAACCCACCATGGAATGTTTGGTCTATTTTTGTTTTTACTATTTATTGTTGTCTTTCACTGTATGTAATCAACATACTGTTATCTAACTTCTAACAAAAAAGGAAATTATAAAAAGGTAGACATACATTCTAATCTATAATAACAAGGTATATAATTATTCTAAAATGCTTACTTTTTGCATAGTTCCAAAATGATGGATTATTAGAAAAATTATTTTCTGATTGGAATATGACCTGTCATGCCAAGATAATACATTGCTTTACTTCATTCTCATGTATTTTAGTCCTAAGGACTTTTTCCTTATGATTTAAGATCCACTATATACATTCATCTATGTATGTCGGATTCTCTATAAATCAATCCCTTTCCCAAATACTGGGTCTAAGTGCCTGAACTATTCTGATTCTCATACAGACTTCAGCATCTGTCTGAAGATGGTATGTCTGTGCTAAGTACTGGAAAAAAGAAAGGCAACAGAAATCAGTGAATGGCCATTAAATCCTAAAAGATTGAACAAGTAGATGGGACTCAGTAGCTGTGTGCTTGGTCATTTTCCAATTTGCTTTTAGAAACATTTCTTACTCAAATGTAGCATCATCATTCCTGTAACAAGAACAATGCCGTATCTTGAAGTTATCCTGAAAGTCAAATGCAAAACTGAGTTATGAACTTGACCCAGCCTTTTATTAGCTATGTGATATTTACAAGTCACTTGACCTCTCTAGGACTCAGTTTCTTTATGCATAAAATATTTTTTAAATACTAAATATAATTATCAAGAGGGATTAAATAAAAGCTGATGTGTAAAATTTAAGATATTGACCTTCTCCAGTGTAGTTCCAGAAAAACAGGCATTTTGTCTATTGTGTTTATTGTTGTATCCCAAATTGTCCAGTAGAATACCTGGCACAAAGTAGGTATTCAATAAATATTTCTTGAATATTAGATCTGATTTTAAATCATTGAATTTGCATATTCAATAAAAAGCAGAAAGAAGACATATGGAAAAACATAGGTATAAATAAGTGTGGGACTGAAATACTTCATGAGGCCATGGGATCACAGCTGTTTGGACTGAGAAACATCAAATCAAATGGAGTAGAAGATCTTGAAATATAAATGAGTAGAACTTTCTTACACATCCTATTCATTTCAATACCTTTTATTATTTTTAATTTTGTGGGTACATAATAGATGTATATATATTTTTGTTTCAATATTAAAATGAGCTTGTGAAAAGAAACTCAAGTTAAAACAAAATAGATTTTTACCAGGAGATAGGACTTTTGAGCAATTAAATTTATTCTTACCTGTATTCCTGAACATTCTATTTGAAGTATCAATTACTTTCCTAAGCGAATATAATGATTTTTCTTACCCCTCAACTATCCCAACTGTGGCTACTGTTAAACAGACTTTTAATGTGGGTGCTTAGATACTGGGGAATTTTTTCACAAATAAATATGAAATCAGTCTATTTTTGACTTATCTGTGTACCAGACTGGAGATAATTAACATCATTTTACAACAGTCTTTCTCTTTTTATGAATTAATTTGTTTTCTTCTTCTTCTTCTTAGTCAAATGCTAACTGAATGTTTTTTAAAAAAGGTTTTTGTGGTTCAGATATTTTTCCCTAGCTCATTTCAATTTTCTTTTTACAAATTGTAATGTTATACATTTTCTAAACGTCATTTTTTTTTGTAGAACAACATATAGTTGGTTCTTGTCTTTCTTTTTATATCCACCATGGCAATATCTGTTATTTAAGGTATTTAGACCATTTGTTTTTAAAGTGATTATTGTTACAGTTGGATTAATATCCCCCATGCTTGTAACTATTTTCTATTAGTTGCAACTTATTATTTGTTTTTTTCCTTCTTTCTTACTCTGTTTTCTCTGGTTTTAATTGAGTATTTTATACATTTCCATTTTCTCTTCTCCCTTAACATACCAAATATATTTCTTTTGAAAATGATTTTAGTGTCTGCCCTAGAGTTTGCAGTATAAATTCATTATTGATCTAAGTCAACTTTCAAATAACATTATACCACTTCATGGGTAGTAAAGGTAACTTGTAATATGGTATTCCCAATTCTTCCCTCATGTCCCTTATAACAGTGGGTCATTCATTTCACTTATTCATATGCTATAACTACTCAATACATTGTTACTGCTATTACTTTGAACAGTTATCTAATTAGATCAATTAAGAATAAAAAAGAAAAAATTTTATTCTGCCTTCATATGTTCCTTCTCATTATTTCTTTAGGCGAATCTGAAGTTCTTACCTATACAACATTTTCTTTACCCTGATTAATATTAGACACTTCTAACAGGGCAGATGTGTGGGTAATGACTCCTTCAGATTTTTCTGAGACAGTCTATATTTCTCCTTCACCATTTAAGAGTAATTTTGCTTGATATAGAATTCTTAGGTTGGTATTTATTTTCTTTCAACATTTTAACTGTGTAACTCCACTCTTTGGCTTTTTTTTTTTTTTTTGACGGAATTTCGCTCTTGTCACTCAAAGGCACGATCTCAGCTCATCACCACCTCCACCTCCAGGGTTCAAGTGATTCTTCTGCCTCAGCCTCCCAAGTAGCTGGGATTACAGGCATGTGCCACCACGCCTGGCTAATTTTGTATTCTTAGTAGAGGTGGGGTTTCTCCACGTTGGTCAGGCTGGTCTCCAACTCCCGACCTCAGGTGATCCGCCTGCCTCAGCCTCCCAAAATGCTGAGATTACAGGCGTGAGCCATCGTGCCTGGCCGGCTTCTATTTTTTTAAATGAGAAGTCCACTGTGAATCTTACTCTTGTTCTCCAATAGGTAAAGTGGATTTTTTTGTTTGTTTCCTCCGTTGGTATTTTTGAAAATGTTCTCTTTGTCTATGGTTTCCTGTAGTTTGAATATGCTATGCTTGGATATATATTTTTTGGTATTTATTGTGCTTAGTGTTCTCTGAGCTTCCTGTATTTGTGGTTTGGTATCTGCCAAACTTTTTGGAAACTTCTCAGCCATTATTACATCAAACGATAATAATATTTGATGTAATAATATTACCTCTGATTCATTTTCTCTTTCTTCTCATTCTGCTATGCTATACATTTTAATACATGTATATGCTACAACTTTTGAAATTATCCCATTGTTCTTGGCTGTTCTGTTTCTTTCATTTGTTTTCTGTCTCTGCATTTCAATTTGGAAAGCTTCTATTGACATATCTTAAAGTTAAATGACTTTTTTCTTTAGTTGTGTTCAGTCTGCTGATGAGACCATTTCATTTCTGTTAGTGTTTTTGATTTCTGGCATTTTCTTTTAATACTTAAAATTTCCATCTCTGCTTACTTTACCCATCAGTTCTTGCATATTGTCTAGTTTTTCCATTAGAGCCCTTAACATATTAATCAAAGTTATTTTACATTCCCTACCTGAAAATCCCCAAATCTTTGCCATACCTGAGACTGGTTCTAATGTTTGTTTTGGCTCTGAAGATGGTTTTTTTTTTCTTGCCTTTAGACTTGTAATGTTTGTTGAAATTCCAACATGATATATAGGGTATATAGCAACTGAGGCGAATAAGCTTTTAGTGTGAGGTTGAGGAAATTTACAAACTCCAGACTTCAGTAAAGACAGACTTTATTTGAAAAGACTATTGCAATAGGGAGAATGCACAAAATCTGTTAAGTGTCTCAAAAGTAAGCACGAAAGAAATTCTCTTTCATAGTAAAGAGTAAATAAGGCTAGAAAGAACTGGTTATTGGCAAGTGAGATAAACCAGTGACATAATCAGATTGGTCATAAGATTTCCATGTTTATTACATGTGTGACTGTAACTGGAACCAGAAATTTCTTTCCTTGATGCCAGCCAATTTTCAGTAGTAATCATTAGGACTGGTTGTTCTGTATGTCAATGATTGTTTAAACTTAGGGTTGAGAGAAACCTCAGGACACTATGGGAAGGAAAGATGCTTAACTAAGATTTTCTCAAGTCAAGGTTAACAGGCATTTTGTTTGCAATAATTGGTGGGAACAAACACTTCAGCTAATTAATCACTTAGAATGGGAATTTGGAAGGTCTGTGCCTGGCCTTGTCTTAGGTAAACAAATGGGTTTCCTACAAGTCTTAGATAAGTCATATGGAGAAGGATGATTCTTTGCAATAAGCTGTTTCCCAGAACAATAAGCAGGTTGTGATGTTTTTAAAATGGTAACTGTGTCCAGGATTACAGAGCTTAGGTAAAGGTCAACATTGCCAGGTTTTATGTTAGTATGGTTAGGAGTTGGGTTTATCTCATTTTTGCTGTAGCTTTGGGTGTGAGAAACTTCAAATTCCTCTGGGGTTCTTGTTTTTGTCTCTCTTGTCTTTGGGGTTTCCTAAGAACACATTCTTAAATAGAGCTTGCATGCTTAGTTGCTCTTTCAGCTAGAGCAAGTGTCCTAGAGCACTGTCTGTTTGGTGGTAAGGTATAGAGGAGGAGCCACATTCTGTTATCTTATTAAATCTCAGTCTTTTAGTATGTGTCTGAGCTGTGGCCTTTACAAGCGTTTCTTACCTTTCCTTCTCCATTGGGTAAGATGAGAAGGCTAGAGGGGGATGAAGTTAAGAAATTGTCTGCTTCCTGGGTATGATAAGACTTTAGTAAAAATCAGTTTCTGTAGAGAGTAGGCCTTTGTTACAGAGATTTGTGATGGCTAATTTTGTGTTTCACTTTGACTGGCCATGGGGTGCCCAGATATTTCATTAAACATTATTCTGGCTCTATCCATGAGGGTGTTTCTGGCTGAGGGTAACATTTGGTTCAGCAGACTGAGTAGAGTAGATTGCCTTCCTAATGTCTGTGAGCCTCCTTTAATCCATTGAAGGTCTGAATAGAACAAAATGGCTAAATAGGAGGGAACTCTTTCTGCCTGACTGCCTTTGAGCTGTGACAGTAGTCTTTTTCTGCCTTTAGACACAAACTGAGGCATTGGCTCTTCTTAGTTCTTGAGCCTGGAGACCTTCAGACTGAAACATACTATCAGCTCTCCTGATTCTCAGGCTTTCTGACTGACACTGGACCCACACCATTGACTCTTTTGGGTCTCCAGCTTACTGAGTGCAAATCTTGGGACTTGTCAGCTTTCAAAATTACATGAACCAATTTCTTGTAATAAATCTCTACATGTATAGCCATCCTATTGGTTGTTTTTCACTGGAGAGTCCTAATACAAGAATGTGCTGGACTATTTAAAAATGGATACTTTTCTCCTCCTGCCAGAGCCACAGGAGATTTTTCCTGGCTCTACATCATGAAAACCTGCGGGGTTCCTGAAAGGAAAACCCATGTAAGTGTGCTGGCCTCCCTGATACTGCAGCCGTGAGGGGTTTCTCATGCTCACCGTGTCCACACTCAGCTCTTAGGAATTCATCAAAATTACCGATTAAAAGTATCACCAGTTGCCGGGCGCGGTGACTCATGCCTGTAATCCCAACACGTTGAGAGGCTGAGGCGGGTGGATCATGAGGTCAGGAGTTCGAGACCAGCCTGGCCAATATGGGTGAAACCCCGTCTCTACTAGAAATACAAAAATTAGCCGGGTGTGGTGGTGGGCGCCTGTAGTCCCAGCTACTCGGGAGGCTGAGGCGGAAGAATCACTTGAACCCGGGAGGCAGAGGTTGCAGTGAACCGAGATCATGCCATTGCACTCCAGCCTGGGCGACAGAGTGAGACTCCATCTCAAAATAAATAAATAAATAAATAAATAAATAAATAAATAAATAAATAAATAAATAAATGTACCACCAGTTAGTAGCTCCAGTGTCTCCTGCTCCAGATAATCTGATCTTCAGCTATGTATCGTTGTATCTCTGTATTTACCTGTTTCTACACATTTGAGGTAGCATTTTACTCTGTGACATAAAATATTTGTCTTTCAGTCAGATGGTTTGGAAGGAAATGAAAACAACTTTTACAATTTCTTACTATGACCAGGCTAATAATGCAAGAAAATTTTGTCATTTTAACAAAGAGAAAATAACATTCTACTTTTGCATTAGTATATTTTATATTTTAGTTCTTTTTGTGAAAGTATGTATATACCCATTATTCCTTAGCCAGCTCTGATCACAACAAATAAAATAAAATGGCCGAGCGCAGTGGCTCATGCCTGTCATCCCAGCCCTTTGGGAGGCCGAGGTGGGTGGATCACGAGGTCAGGAGATCGAGACCACCCTGGCTAACATGGGGAAACTCCGTCTCTACTAAAAATTCAAAAAATTAGCCGGTCATGGAGGCACCTGCCTGTAGTCCCAGCTACTTGGGAGGCTAAGGCAGGAGAATTGCTTAAACCCAGGAGGTGGAGGTTGCAGTGAGCCAAGATTGTGCCACTGCACTCCAGCCTGGGTTTGGGAGCGAGACTTTGTCTCAAAAATAAATAAATAAATAAAAAATAAATAAAATTCTCCTTTACAGCTTTTTATATAATTTAGGTTTTGAACTATATCCCACCACTTTTTATTTTGAAACTACTAGTCATTTTACTTTAAGACAAAACTATTTTTCCTTAATAAAACATATCTTGTTTATCTTGCATACAAAGTTGTTCGACTATGCTACTTTGCTCCTAGTAGAGTTTATTCACATATATTGATTATAATTTTTATTCATAGTAGGTTTCATTTTAGAGAGAAAATTGGGATATGGATGTTTGTGAACTCTGTTACGCATCAGTATTTCGTAGCAAATTAGCAAAGCTCATAAATATACATATCAGAACTTTTTTTTTTTTTGAGACAGTCTCACCTGTTGCCCAGGCTGGAGTGCAGTGGCGCAATCTCGGCTCACTGCAACCTCTGCCTCCCGGGTTCAAATGATTCTCTTGCCTCAGCCTCCCGAGTAGCTGGGATTAAAGGCGCCCGCCACCACACCCAGCTAATTTTTGTATTTTTAGTACAGACGGGGTTTCACCATGTTGGCCAGGCTGGTCTCGAACTCCTGATCTCGTGATCCACCCGCCTCGGCCTCCCAAAGTGTTGGGATTACAGGCGTGAGCCACCTGGACTGGCCATTGCACAACTTTTTATAACCATAAACATCCCCTATACTACAACTTTTCAAGATGACAAAAATGAATGCACTCATCAACAGACCCAAACATATATAGCCTTAAAAATATGCATAGAAATTAATATTTTAGCATTTTATCTTGTTTAGAAACAATCCACATATTTAACAAATAATCATTAATTAACCTTATATAACATAAACCTAACGTTTTAGCTTACCAAAATATCTTGAAAACTGTTTTCTAGATGACATGTTACAAAAGATAATTAGCGTTGAAATAATGTTTCTCAAAATAGTAATTTAATTCGGTTAAAGATAAATTTTCATTTTTTTATATTTAAGACTAGGTCATTCAATCAGTAAACCTATACAAACTTAGGAAGACTATCCCAAGTAGAATAAAAATATATGCCTATATGTGCCTATTTTATATATATATATATATATTATATAATATATATATGCCTATATATGCCTATATATGCCAATATATATATGCCTATATATATATGTGTGCCATATATAAATATATATAAAAAATATAAATATATATAAAAAACAAATATATATAAATATATAAATACATGTATAAATATATAAATATGTATATATAAATATATAAATATGTATATATAAATATATAAATATGTATATATAAAAATATATAAATATATATAAATGTATATATAAAAATATATAAATATATATAAATGTATATATATAAAAAACCTTGATAACTCAGAATACTTTTTTTAGGCCAACTACATTATAGTTAGTCTCATTTGTTATGATTTACCTAAATTATATGAACTTTAGTTTTTAAAATATTTGGGCTAACTTATATAGTAGTACTTTTGAAAATAGTAGATGGTTAATTTCCTTAATTTCTGAAGTTTACAGGAATAGTTAATTTATACAACCATTTTTTAAATCTCTAAGAGAATCAAAATAGTGTTCCTTTAATGCATTTTGTATTCTAATATGGCAATATTATCTGGGGGTAAGTAAATAATGGGTTTGGGCCATAATCCTGAAAGACACAATCTCAAGTGCTATAATCCCAAACAATGAAACTCTGAAGGGTGAAAATCCTGAAAACATGTTTCTTGAAAAAATTATTTAAAAAAAATTTTAGAAGGCATTTATTTAGATCTTTAAAGGGGGGATTTATTTGAGAATCATAAAAACATGATGGAATACTTCATTGACCACTTTCCACAATAAAATGTACAATAATAACATATTTTTGCAAGCATAAACACTTAAATATCCTAAGAACAGTCACACATGTATAACAATTATGAGCAGATAACCAGTATTCGGAAAGAAATAGGTCAAAAGTAAAACATATGGGTATATATTACTATGGTTTGTAATTATGTCCACCTCGTTTTATGACTGCTGTTTTTTGAAATTCCATGTCAATCTAAGTCTTTTGATGAAAACATCAAAGTCACAATATGTCACCACCACATATGCGATAGTCCAGAGAACTTTGATCTCGAGCAATTTCATCTTTTACAAATGCAGTTGTACAAACATGGTATCTCTTCATTTCTTGAGGAAGTATCAATGTTTCTATATATATGCACAATGCTTATACACAAAATCAATATTGTTATAATGTACTTTCCTAGAGTCCAATTTGCAAAAAGTGCATAAACTGATTAGAATTCTCTAAAAGTCTTTACGCAATTTATACTTCTATTATTGGAAATGATGTGAAGATGAAATACATAGCAGAGTGAATTTTAAAAAAAGTAATGCTGACAATTTGAAATGGTGATTAAAAAACTTAAAAAAGAAAAAATCTAAAACTAAAAAATTGATATATGAGAAAATGTGTTACTAAGTTAGATATGAACAATTGCACAGAAGTAGTCCATAAAAGCTGGCTAACTTTCACAATCATTAACTGTATTTTGAAGTCTTGCATTTTGATTAATGGCTGCTTTTTTCTTTTAGGGCATAGTTCTTCTTGCAGAATACGTTCACATTCATTTTCTATGTGGAACTGCTCTTTTTGAAATTGTTGTATGATTCAATTTACATCAACATGAGCATTCCCTATTAAATTTTCCCATATTCTGTGCCATGCTTCTATGTTGCTTTGGGTATGCAGAAATTCCTCATGCACCCATATACAGAGAACAAATTTGGCGGAAACGATGTTGGTGATCAAACAGCAACACTATTGCTTAAGTGTCTTCTTATCCTACTGTGCACACAATTATTTTCAAACCAGTCAGTAACTTTGCTGGCTTATTCAGGGAAATGTGGTTTTAATTCATTAAATGCTTATGGAATTTTGTCACCTGGAAGAAATGCCAATGCAGATAAATGACATGTTTAGACTGAAGTTTTTGTCATTGCCATATCATGTGGCCAATCCACTCACTGCATTTTATGCCAAATGCACTGGGCTGAATTGGGGGGTGTGGGTGGGGGAGGAAACTATAGATAAAACCTTGAAATTTACTTTTGGAAGCCTTGATCACACCTAATTCAAAATCTGCCATTATGGTTTGGGGATTCCATTGAAACTCAGTTTCTTCTGCCAAGTCCAACAAATCTTCAAATAAGCATTTATAAAGTGTTTCACTTTTCCAGTCATTACTACATAAATGGGTGGTTGAGTTTCAGAAATTTCAGATCCAACAGGGCCATGGATTGTATATAGTTGATTTTTTAAAGAGCAAACAGTGGGGACAGTTTTGAAAGTGCTATCCATTAGCTAAAGTGAAGCATGCCCTAGTTTTCGTGTGTGGTAAATATGTCTATTTTCTTCAACAGTCGAGTCCCTAACCAAGAGTAGGCCACCCTTTAATGCACTTTGTAACACTGGAAGAACTTATATATCAGCAAGTGTCTTTGTTTCTGAAGGTCGCTGAGCTTGTCAAAAAAATTTTTTTTCTTAAATTCTGTGATGAAGGACATTTTTTGAAGGCAAGCATGTCACTATGTGTGAAGAGGCAGAAGTCCTATATGGTTGAAAAATTGGGCAAGGGAAATTTCTTGCATTTTTCACCTGGTTTTTCACTTCTATGATCTTTAAAACACTTGAAACATTAAGGTGAGTTAGATCTTCTCCACCTATTCCACTCAGACTCACGTGCTTATCTCCTCTGGAAACACTGTCACAGAAACACCCAGAATAATGCTTTCCTGGTTTCTAGATATTCTGTAATTCAGTCACGTGGACATCTAAAATTAAGTCTACAAATCTGCCCTTTGTCAACTTGGCACCCATACATATCTCCTTAAACCATCATTAATATCCTAACAAACTAATAGTCTGCTTAACACGATGCAACTATCCTGTGTGCAACCGAAAATGCACTAATCCCTTACCCAGAATTTGTCTTCCAGGATTTCAACATTCCAGGATTATATCTTTCAAGATTGTGTCTTTTGTGATTGTGACCAGTACCAGTATTTAACATACATACATTTTATACACACACACACACACACACACACACACACACACACACACAGACAGGCATAAATAGATTATAACTATAATTTTTAAAATTTAACTCATTGGTATAGATAAAGAGTGGGTTCTTGCCCACCTTTACTTTTTTATTGTTATTGCTTTCAGGGGCAGGGTCTCTGTTGCCAAGGCTTGAGTTCGGTGGCATGATTGTGGCTCACTGCAGACTCAACCTCCTGGTCCCAGTCGATCTTCCCACCTCAGCCCTGAGCTTCATCACAAGCAGCTGGAATTACAGGCACACACCACCACATTCTGCATTTTTTTTTAAATTTCTGGTAGAGGTAAGGTCTAGCTATGTTTTCCAGGCTGGTCTCAAACTCTTGGGCTCAAAAGATACCCCTGTCTCATCCTCCCAAAGTGCTGGGCTTACAAGCATGAGCCACTACATCTGGTCTATTTTTTTTTTTATTGGGATTGCATTTCTGGTAGATGGAGCAATTTGAGGTTACCTACTCAATATGAGGGCAGAAGTGTCCCCACCAATATTTTTGGAAGAGACCCTTAAATTTTTTTGGACCTGATGCATAAAATATTATGGAATCTGTGGACTTAATTTTGAATGAGTTACTGAGGATACACCAGGTGGCCATCTAGGTGTTTCGAAAGACCATCTAAGTGGATAAAACATCCAACCTATTTCCGGTTAGATTTTCCAGCCTTTCAGTGGTTGATCTTGGGGTCCAAGTCCATCAAGAGCTCTCAAGAAGAAGAGGGGGGCCTAGAACTTAAGTGGTTATAGGGAGTTGAGGGGCCCAAATGAGATGGGAAAGTTTTGGCAGAGGTGAATCGAGGGATGGAGAAGGTAGGGATGTTGAATGGGGATAGATCAAGGAATTCAAAGGAGCTGAAGGGAAGTTTGAAGGTTGTAAAAAAGGAAGATGATGGCTTAGAGGGGTGAAGAGAAGGTATAGCCCTTTGATGAAGCAATAATGGGAGATCCTAAGTTTCTCAAAAGGTCATTGTATCAGTCCATTCTTGCATCGCTATAAAGAAATGCCTGAGTCTAGGTAATTTATAAAGAAAACAGGATTGATTGACTCATGGTTCTGCAAGCTGTACAGGAAGCCTAGTGCTCATGGTGAGGCCCTCAGGAAGCTTACAATCGTGGCAGAAGGAGACTGGGAGCCAGCTTGTCATGGCTAGAGGAGGAGCAAGAGAGAGAACAGGAGAAAGTGTCACACAGGCTTAAACAACCAGATCTCACAGGAAATTAGAGGGAGAGCTCACTCATTACAAAGGAGATGGTACTAAGCCATTCATGGAGGATCTGCCTCGATGACAAAAACATCTCTGAACAAGCCTCACCTCCAACATTGGGGATCACATTTCAACATGAGATTTGGAGAAGACACAGATCCAAACCATATCATTCCACCCCTGGGCCCCCAAGTCTTATGTTCTTCTTATATTGCAAAATACATTCAATTGTACCTTCCCAATACCCCAAAAGTCTCAACTCATCCCAGCATCAATTCAAAAGTTCTAAGTCTTATCTGAGATTCATCTCCTTTCACCTATAAACCTATGAAATCAAAAAACACTTAGTTACTTCCAAGGTACAACAGTGATACAGGCATTGGGTAAACATTACCATTCCAAAAGGGAGAAATTGGTCAAAAGAAAGGGGCTACAGGCCCCATGCAAGTCTGAAACCCAGCAGGGCCATCATTGAAACTTAAAGCTTCAAAATGATCTCCTTTGACTCCATGTCCCTCATCCAGGGCACACTGATGCAAGGGTTGGATCCTACAGCCTTGGGCAGCTCTGCCTTCATGGCTTTGCAGGGTTCAGCCTCCGTGGCTGCTCTCATGGGCTAGTGTTGAGTGCCTGTGGCTTTTCCAGGCACAGGATGGAAGCTGCCAGTGGATCTATCATTCTGGGATCTGGAGAAGGGAAGGAGAGTTTCCCTGTGTGGGCTCTGCCACTGGAGCAGGCCTCTGCCTGAGTACTCATACTTTTCCATATATCTTCTGAATTCTAGGAAAAAGCTACTAAGCCCCCTTCACTCTGGCATCCTGAGTGCCCAAGGACTTAATACCACATGGAAGTCATCAAGGTTTATGGTAGCTTTTGCTCTCCAAAGCAGTGGCACAAGAAGTATCTGGGGCCCTTTGAGCCAAGGCTGGAACTGGAGAAACTGGGACGTGAGGAGCAGTGTCCTGAGACTGAGCAGGGCAAAGTGACCCTAGGCTGGGCCCATGAAACCATTCTTTCATTAGAGGCCTGTGGGCCTATGATGGGAGGGGGTGTCCCAAAGATCTCTAAAATCCCTTCTAGTCCTTTCTCCCATTGTCTTGAGTATTAGCACTTGGCTCCTTTTCAGTCATGCTACTATATATAGCAAGTGGTTGCTCCACAGCCTGCATGGATTCCTTCCCTATCATGATGCCAGGATGCAAAGTTTCCAAACTTTTACACTCTACTCCCTTTCACATATAAGTCCTAACTTAAGTCATTCCTTTTCTCCCACACCTGAGTATAGGCTATTAGAAGCAGCCAAGTAACATCTTGAATTCTTTGCTACTTAGAAATTTCTTCTACCAGATACCCTAAGTCATCACTCTTAAATCCCTAGGGCATGAAGACAATGCAGCAAAGTTCTTCACAAAGGCATAATAAGGGTTACCTTTGCTCCAGTTACCAATGAGTTCCTTATCTCCATCTGAGACCTTGTCAACTTGGACATCACTGTCCTTATCGCCATTTCATTCTGGTTACAGCCATTTAACCCATCTCTAAGAAGTTCCAAACCTTCCCTCAGTTTTCTGTCTTCTTCTGAGTCCTCCAAACTCTTCCAACTTCTGCCTGTCACTCAGTTCCAAAGCCAGTTCCACATTTTCAGGTATCTTTATAGCAATGACCACTCTTTGGTACCAATATTCTGTATTAGTCCATTCATGAATAACTATAAAGATATACCTGAGACTGGGTAATTTATAAAGAAAAGAGGTTTAATTGGCTCATCATTCTTCAGGCTATACAGGAAGCATGGTTGTGGCATCTGCTTCTGGTGAGGGCCTCAGGGAGCTGATAATCATGGTGTGAGGTGACAGGAAGCCAAGATGTCACATGGTCATAGTGGGAACAAGAGAGAGAGGGAGGAAGTGCCACACACTTTTAAACAACCACATCTCCCATAAAATCAGAGGGATAACTCATTCATTACCAAGCGGATGGCACTGAGCCATTCATTGGCTAAGAAATTCAGCCTGATGATCCAAACACCTCACAAGTCGCCATCTTCAACACTGGGGATTACTTCTCTACATGATATTTGGAGGGAAAAAAATACTAACACTATTAGTCACCAAAGTTCTAAATTTTCTATTAAAACTTTTTAGATATTGAATTGAATTAATGTCACAATGGAAGAGCATATAGTCAGCAGTAGAAATGGAAGGAGAGAAGACAGTAGAATGAGAGTTATACAAGGGGTCAGTTAATTAAATCAAATGTAAGACCTTAAAGGAAGGATGAAGGAGTCCTACCTGATTACTCTCTTACACAGTCCCTCCCACAATACCCGATAGAGGAGCCAAGGAAAACCAGACATTTTCCATACAAGCGTGAGAAGGGTTATAATTCAAGAGTCAGGGAATAATTCTCTACGAGTCAATGAAAAATTTATTTGGTCAAAAAAATCAAAGCAACTCCTGACTACGCTACAACATATGTGATACTCAGAGCACTGGTTTAAAAGTTTAATTCACAGAGGAATTCCTGAATTCATGGAAAGGAGAGGAGTTGAAAAAATTTGCAAAGTGTAATTAATTACCTGGAAATGGATGATGTGGGCCCATACTGTAGTACAATCTTTTTATTTTTATATTTTTATTTTTAATTTATATGGGTAAATAGTAGGTATATATTCTTATGTATATAAGAGATGTACTGATAAAGGCATACAATGTGTAATAAGCATAAATGGGGTATCCACCTCAAGAATTTATCATTTCCTTTTGTTACAAACATTCCAATTATACTCTTTTAGTTATTCTTAAATGCACACAAAATTATTGTTAACTGTTATCACCCTGTTGGGCTATGAAATACTAGATCTTATTCATTTTAACATAATTTTGTACCCATTAACAGTTTCCACTCTGCCCCCAAGCGCTACTACCCTTCCCAGCCTCTGGTAACCATCATTCTACTCTCCATCTCTATGAGTTCAATTTTAATTTTTAGATCCCACATATAAATGAGAACATGCAATGTTTCCCTTCCTTTAATGATTGCTCCTTTAAACATTCTCTAAATAAATAAAACAATAGAAATTTGAAGCCTAAGAGTTTAGTTAAATTTATGTAAATTCTTACTAATTGTTGAAAAATTGTACTTTTAAGCATTTGATTAAAATCAGAAGTCAAATATTACAGTTTCTTAAATGCTTAAAAAGCAGAAGAAATTCACATTTTTGAAAGTTCATCACCTTATTTTTACCCAAAGCATTTACAAAACTGTTAATTTTGTGAACAGTGAAAGCTGATACTTAGCACTTGGCATGTACCAAAGCAGCTGACCCCAACAACAGCTCTATGAGATGGTGTAGATGGAAAATTCTCTATAACCACATTTCCCCTCTAGTCTCACACCATATTAACAACCAACACAGAAGACTTCCGTGATCAAATGTGTGGGTTTTTTTTCTGCAAACATCAAGCAGCAGATACCAGCTGGGTGTCCTCTAATTTAGTTGCAACATTATCTAACCAGAGATAATGTCAGATCCCACAATTTGAGGGCTCAGTCCCCAAGACTTCTCCTACTCAACACACACACACCAGCCTCAAGTCTGGGACTCTGGAACTTCTGACTGACCGGCTTCAAGTTGTTCCCATGATCCCCTCTTTGGGTTTGATTAATTTGCTAGAGTGGCTCTCAGAACTCAGGGAAACACTTACTTACATTTACTTGTTTATTATAAAGGATATTGCAAAGGATACAGATGAAGAGACACATAGGGTGAGGTATGGGGAAAGGGGCACAGAGCTTCCATGCCCTCCCTGGGTGCACCATCCTCTAGAAAACTCCACGTCTTCATCTATCCAGAAGCTCCAGGAACCCAGTCCTCTTGGATTTTTAAGGGGGGCTTCATGATGTCAGCACTCATTCCCCCAGAGTATGGATGGGATACTCTCCTGGGAATCAGGAAGGCAGGGGAACAGAGTGAAAAGGCAGGAGAGGGTCAGAGGCCTGCCCCTGAGACCTAACACACCTAACATTATAACCAACGACTGTAACAAGGGCTATGGGAATTATGAGCCAGGAACCATGAACACACACACACACACACACACACACGCACACACACACATATATATCATAGCACCACAGATGAGTTCCATTATTATGCCCATTTGACAGATGAGGACATTAAGGCACAGAGAGATTGAGTCCTTGTCCAAGTTCCTGCAGCTGGTAAGATGCAGCTTTCTAATTTGAACCCAGGTGATGTGACTCTGAAGTTTAGCCCATTGACCACTTCTCTGCACTGGACTTGAAATGTTGCCTTCATTATATTTTCTCACCTCTGCCACTTGGTGTCACTTCCTTTGACCTCAGTAGTTCGAGTTCTCACACTTCTCCAGAATTTAGTGCTGCCTTGAGCGCTGTAAGTTCAGATGATGGGCTGATGGTGTCTTGATGAGGTCCAGATGTGGTCCCTGAGCCACTGGACATCAGGCAGGAACATCTCATGGTCACGTATTTGTACATGGTTATGGCTACCAGGAAGGCCAGAAGGGAAGACAGGAGGGGAGTGAGGTCCTGCTTCCTGAGAATGTAAGACAAATAGTGACATACCATTCTATGAACTTGAAATCATGCCACTCCACTCACCATTCAGGCCTGAGAGCAGTTAGTCCTGATGTCCCCAGGTGTTAAATCATGTGACCTGTGAAAGTGTGTCAAGCTACCTACTTGTATTTTATGAAGCCCCCCTATAAGTGCTGTTTTTATTGTTTTAAATAAACGAATTTGTCAAATGGTGGAATAGGGTGTCTCTGTGTCAAGTTGTTAATCACTATCCTCGAGGCTACTTGCTGAGTCAGTGAGTCATTACATTTATGTTTTGACAAATAGTGCCAGTATCCCTGCAAAGTGACGTCACTGAATTATAGTCCCACAGCCCTTTATGAATAGCCTTGTGGTGATGATGATGATCTCAATAATAAGACTACTAATAATAGCAGCTCTTACATATTTAGCGTCACGTGTCAGGCCCTGTGCTGAGCATTTTTACATCACCTTTCTTAAGGTAGGCAGGAGTATTTTTCCATTTTAATCACTGGACTTTGAATTAGAGCCTCAGTTCCCAAGGTTGAATCAGCATCCATATCCCCGGAACAGCTTGTTAAAGCACAGACTGCTGGGCTCACCACCAGAGTTTCTGATTCAGTATATCCGAGTGGGACTTAATGGCTTACATTTCCAACAGATTTCCATGTGATGCTGAAGTTGAGTTGGTAGTCCAGGGACCACCATTTGGTAAACATTGAATTAAAGAAATGATTACTATCGGCCAGGCGTGGTGGCTCATGCCTGTAATCCCAGAACTTTGGGAGGCCAAGGCGGGCAGATCATGAGGTCCGGAGTTGGAGACCAGCCTGACCAACATGGTGAAATCCCATCTCTCCTAAAAATACAAAAATTAGCCAGGTGTAGTGGCGTGCGCCTGTAATCCTAGCTACTCAGGAGGCTGAGGCAGGAGAATCGCTTGAACCCGGGAGGCGAAGGTTGCAGTGAGGCAAGATCGCGCCATTGCATTCCTGTCTGGGCGACAGAGCAAGACTCCGTCTCAACAACAACAACAGCAACGATAACAAAAGAAATGTTTACTGTCACTTTACAAAGCCCCTGCAAGGGAGTTGTTGTCTTCCTTTTTGAATTTTACATTTTGGTCCTTGATGTCCTCAGGTGTAAGGGCATCACCCAGGGCCATACAGCCCGGGAGGGGTGAGTTTCAATATAGAGGCTGAGGACCTGAGAGGCCTCCAGTGGCTGTGTTCCAAAACACAGGTAACCTCGTGGAGACCTCTCAGGGTGAGGAATATTCCAGGTGGCCACAGAAAGAGGGGACGCCTCATTCCTATTCACAGAGCTGGGAGACACCACTTCCTGGCACACCTTAAGGTGCTACTTGTCATTGCCGTGGAAAACTGCAGGAAGCCTTAAATCTAGCTGGATGCAGGGCAAAAACTACCCAAAAGACTGTGCTCTGGGTGTGTGTTAGGAACCCACCCTATGGGGAATCCAATCCTCAACCTCTTCTGGCCACAGGTATGTACACAGCGGAGGGCTGGGAGAGCGGGAGAGAGATGAGGAGAGTCTGTGGACAAAACTGAGGTGAGCAGTGCTTTTGGAATTGCTGTTGATTTAGGGCAGAGAGAGCCAAGAAGGGCACTGAAATTATCTTTGCAGTTGCCATGTCTTTTCAAGCAAAGCTGGATTGCCACGGACAGTCGTGAATAGATATGATTATGGAAGACCCTTAGATGTTTAACGTGAATCCATTTCAATATTCATCACTAATAGCTTGCAGGAGTCCCTTTGGTGTCCCTTTGGGTTGAATACACACCAGGCCAGAGTTAGTATCTAGCAGTCACCACCCTTTCTACTCTTATTGCCATCAGAACTTCTCTGATTTGTTTTTTTTTTTTTTTTTTTTTTTTTTTTTTGAGATAGAGTTTCACTCTTGTTGCCCAGGCTGGAGTGAAGTAGCGCCATTTCAGCTCACTGTAACCTCTGCCTCCTGGGTTCAAGCAACTCTCCTGTCTCAGCCTCCCAAGTAGCTGGGATTACAGGCACATGCCACCATGACTGGCTAATTTTTGTATTTTTAGTAGAAGCGTGGTTTCACCATATTGGTCAGGCTAGTCTCGCACTCCTGACCTCAGGTGATCTGCCCACCTCGGCCTCCCAAAGTGCTGGGATTACAGGAATGAGCCACTGCGCCCGGCCTCTGATTATTTTTTCATTTGTTGTGCTTGTGGCTCAATCCTTTGCTTCATTTCAGGCTCGCCCCAAAGTGTCCTCCTCCAGGAAGCTTTCCATGGTTGTCCCACGAAAATTTACCTACCCCTCATCTCTTCTCCTTGCTTTTATTTTGTTGTCTTCAGAACCTGTACGATCCTGCCGATAGTCTCTTCTGCACTGACTTAGTATCTTGTGGATGATCCATCTCCACTCCCAGAATATGAGCTCCTGTTTGTGCTCTATCACCAGGCCTAGAGCAGTGCAGGGTCTGTTATAAGTGCTCAATAAATGGCTAGTGAAGCAATGATGTTCTCATCATGCTTAAAATAATCCCACCCCCCTCAACTATGGCTTGGAAGGCCCCATGCAACCCACCCCAGAGGACTATGCGTGACCTTGTCTCCTTCCTTTCTTCCTTTGCTCATTGACTCCAGCCACATTGACCTGAACCTGCCAAGCTTTTCCCAGATTTTGCATGTGGAGTTCCCTCAGACTGGGACACTGTCCCCAGATCTCTTCTTGGCCGCCCTTTCACATTCTTTCAGGATCTTCCCAAATATCACCTCTTTGGAGAGGCCTTTCCTGGCAGTTCTAGTTAAAATAACCCTTGTCTCTGCCTGCCCTTGTTTTGGCATTTTCATGCTGAGAATTTGGCACAATTACAAAGCAGAAATGTGGACTGGGTTGAGCTTTTCCAGGCTGCTGAGGGAGAAAATAGGAAAAATACTAACAAATAACAAATCAACCATAATAGCTGGCCTTCACTGAGCCCTTGATATATGCTGGGGGTCAGTTACTATGTATCACCTCATTTAACTCTCACTTCCTCTGAGTTAGATTCTACTATTACTCCTACTTTACAAAAAAAAAAAAAAAAAGGAACTTGAGGCTTAGAGAGATTAAGTTACCTGCCCATGGTCACACAGCTCTTGAGTAGTGGAAACTCAAACCCAGTGTGTCAACCATCAGAGCCTCCAGTCTTAATCACAATACTCACAGTGGGCCGAGGAGGCCTGGAGGATGACAACTAAAGTCACCTTTGCAGGGAGGACACGTAGAATTAGGAATATGGAGGGTATGGAGAATATTCCAGTCATGGACAAATGCAGGGGTATGTGTCACTCAAGGAGGCATGAGAGGACATGTGTGGTTGCTGAGGGCCACCTATATGCTGAGACATGTCCCAGATGGCAAGATGGTGAGACCCTTTCCTGGGGATTTATCCCATACTGACTGTGGTGATGGAGGAGTAGAGACACTACACAGGCAGACCCTGTACTAGAGGGACCAGGGTTCAGATATCTGCTCACTAAACAGGTGACCACTGGGTGACTAGCTAGAGCTCCCTGAGCCTCAGCTCACTGAGTGAGGCTTCACTTACATGCAAATGATGAATGCATTTACTTCATCAGCCATGGGACTATTAATAAAAGTAGCAAAAACCCACCAGGTGCACACATGGGCCAGGCATTCCAGTGTTTGCCTTGTGAACATTTTCTCTGTGATTCTCACAGCAACCTGGTAAAGTGGGAATTGTTAACTGTTGTCGATGCAGAAATTGCAGCTCAGAGAAAGCAAGGTCACACACCTGGCAAGTGTCAGACTCAAGGTCTGGATGCAAACTTGAGAGTCTGGCTTCAGAGCTGGGAACATTTAATCACTTTAATATGGTATGTAAAGTGCTCAGCATGGAGCCAAGCACACAGTGAGGACAAGTAAAACACAGCAGCAGCTGCTGCTGCCGTTCCCACTACTGGTCTTATGATTATTGTCATTATTTCCTCCTTTCTCTGACGTCCTAGAGTGTTCACTCTCTGCTCTTCTCCGGGCATGTGGGCTTATGATTGTCTTGTGCCATTTTTCAGTAGCTTCCCCCATGAAAGGCTTTTCACTCTAACACAATTGCATTCCCTTCAAAGGCAGCATCCACTCTCCCCACCCACCAGGAGCCTAGTAAAGAGCTAGGCCCCCAGGAGGTACACAGTTATCCAGACTTTGTTTCGCCCTGGATCTTTTCCCTTGACTGAGTGCCAAGCTCTAATTCCATCCTATGGGCATCCCTGCTTTTCTTAGACTTTCTAGGGGTCAGTGACCATTGAGGATGTGGACACAATCTTTACTAAGAGGTCCTGGCCCAGAGGACCTGACCCGAGGGACCTTGAACCAGGAGGTGATGCTGCAGATCTGGGAACACAGTCTTGCTGGGTAGATCCTTACCTGTCCTTACTCAGGGAACTTGCAGACTCTTTCTTCATTCTGCTCTCTCGCTCCAGGCTTGCTTAGGCTAGAATGCATAGGGGGCCCACCTTCATACCCCGTGGTAGCTCCTGCCTTGCTTGGGTCTCAAATTCTGCCTGGTCTCCCCATGTTCCTACCAGGGATTGGTGTGGCTAGAATTAGCATCCCATTCAAAATTATTCATAACAAAGAGAGAATGTATTGGAAGGGAATGGGGATATATTGTGGAAGCTAAGTGCAGAATGTCCACTGGGCCCCATGGGAGACTGCAGTCAAGAACTTAAAGGAACCAAGATATGTCCTGGCCTTGGAGGGGGGGGGTCTCTTGTCATTGCTTATTTCTTTGTGCCTGCTTATGCCACTCTCTGCTGATTGGCTTTTTCTGCTGCAGTGAGTTTAAGGGAAGAATTGTCTGCTCCAGTTCTCACTCTCTGAGGCCCCCAGATTCCTTGCTTCTACTTTTCCCTTCAAGTTTTACATCTTTACTCTCAATATTTCTCTGCAGTTGAACTTGCCTGCATTATTAATAAAAGTAGCAAACCACACCAAGTGCACACATGGGCCAGGCATTCCAGTGTTTGCCTTATGAACATTTTCTCTGTGATTCTCACAACAGCCTGGTAAAGTGGGAATTGTTACTGTTGTCCTTGCAGCAGGAAATAAACATGTGACCCCATATTTCCCTTGATCTCTTCCTGCAATGCCCATCACAGTCTGACCTCAGTCTGAGAACCTCTGCCTAAATTTCCACAAGAGGGAAGTGGAGTGGCCCAGTTTGTTTGGATAAGGGAGTCCCCACAGCCCAGTTAGCGAGGGCCATTGTTGATGAGCTGTTCTAAAGAAGGGGCGTAAGTCAGGCAGATACCCAGGAGGCATTTGCCATCATTGTCACCTGGTATCTTCTGGGAAAAAAAATATAGTCTCAGTTAAAGATTAAATCTCAGTTGTTCCCTATGCCTATAGGATGGTTCCTTGTTTCCTAAGTTATGGGCCAGCATCCTCCACTGGTAAGGATATGACTGTAGAGGGTACACAAACACATCATCAAATGACATTGAAAGACAGCCTGAGAAAGCTGTTTCTTTCCTTCCTTCTCTTGTGAGCCAACATAAGGACAGGCAACTACTATGTCATGAGCACTGATATGATGTCATCAAGCCTGTCCTAGGCACTGTTTTTGTTCCACTCATTTAATGCAGCATCTCAGTCTTTGGCAATTAAAAAAAAGTTCAGCCAATGCAGTGTGTTTCAATTTAGAATATGGCCTTTCATTTTAAGATGATGTCCTTTGCCTTTTTCGCTTTTAAAAGCCATTTCTTTTTTGAAATACTGGGGAGAGTAAATGATACTTGATGTCTGTATAAATGTACTTAACTAGCCAAATAACTGTGAGTTTCCCAGGTTTTGATTTTTTTGCTCGTTCACAGAATGCTAAAGTCTGGGAGTCACCAAGTTGGCCCCATTGTCCACGTCATAAATCTTCCCACTCACATCCCTTTTTCTCTGCGGTTCATGTTCTCCACAGCTGCTAGCCCCACATTGGGCTTATAGCCATATCCTTTAGCGTAGCACTTGGGAGCCTGGGCTCTGGGGCCAGACTGCCTATTGGTGTTAAATTGTCACTCATGGGCTCTGTAACCCAGGAAAAGTTACTTAACCTCTTTTTCAGTGAGCAGTCCATCTAGAGCTTCCTGGGGTCTTGCAGCTACCACTTCTCTTGTTGCCAGAGAAGAAAAATATCCCTATCTGTGGGGCCTCTAATCACTGTTTTGCCCTATTCTGGAAGAAGACACATTGTGTGGGACTCTGGAGTACCTACTCAATTGAAATGACCATGAGGAGAGCCTACAGTGAAGAGATGAATCTGACTGACATTGGGGTTATGTGCTATGAGCTTATGAGCTTTTGGTGAGAAATCTGCCTTCAAGATTACCTCACCTAGTTAGACCTACAGAGGCATACTCTGCAAGAATGGGGACGACCTGGAGCATTTATGTGGGAGCCATTCTGTGATTGTTTCTGGGTTTGAATTGTCTGGATACAACCAGAGTGAGCCTTGTATGTTTGAAAACAGGAGTCTGGAATGGATTCAGGGAACAGAGAAGCAATGATAGAGGAAAATTACTAAACTTGTTTTCTTCTTTCTGAATCCTCATCAGTAGGAATTTAATTTCCACTAGCAATGCTTTACTGAGCCCTGGACCTGATCCCCAAGTTGCTGAGATACAAGCCCTCAGTGAATCCACCCTGGCTTGGATCCAGAACACTACTGGGTCCAGGCCCTCTTCAGGAGGATGCTGGCCCCTAGACTTTGCCCTGTCACTTGTGTTTGTGCAAGGAGTCGTCCTTGCTCTGCAACCTCATCTGCCTGTTGGGTCCTTCTTCATAGAAACTATTTAATAAAAGTGTCTGCATTTTGTATTTGTGCATGGAGCTGTGTGTTTGTGTCCCCAGGTAGAGTCACTGCTTCTGTAGGAAGCTCTTTCCTGTGAGAGTTAGAGATGGTTGTTCATCCTGGTTCCCCAGCTGGCTCCCTTTACTGCCTTCCTTAATATCATGACTGATATTCAGCAGCAAAATTGAATTATTTGTTAGTTATTGGCTTTTCTATTCCAATTGAAAAATATCTTAATGTCAGCCATAACAAAAACCATTATGGCCCCTATTTCCAGGTTCCCAAGTCAATATTCGTCCTTAGAATAACTAAACTCTATTTTATTTAATATTTTGTCTCTTCCTTATATCATGTGTATTCCCAAGGCCTCAAGGGATGCTGGCCATGGCCATATCTGGCATGTCACTGTGCATTCAATTTTGACAAAAGCCTTAGGTTGACACTTGCCCTTTCTAATGCCATCGTTAATAGTTTTCTCTCATTTTTCTATTTGCTGTCATATGGACATAGGAAACACCTCATCCTCTGACACTGTTGGATTCCATGTAATTCCCTCCCCATTAAAAATTACCCAGCTCCCTTGTAGCCCGTACTGTCTAACTACAAATCTTGCTGTTACTTCTACCAGCACCCTGTTTAAATTTCTTCCTTCATTTGGGGCCTAGGCTCATGTCATCTCCAGCCTCTCCTATTCCCGTCACCATCTGCCTTGACTCAAACATGTATATGGGTAACCCAACCAAAGCTCCATGCCTTCAGATCTTTGCCATCTTTACTTCCAAAAATGTTTTATTTCATTCCGCTGCAGCCAAGACTCCCATGGTTATACTCTGAATATTGTCATCGTGAGTGATGGCTCCACCTGCAAAACATGACTTCTCTCATTATCGCCTCTTACTTATACATACCCTTAGCCCCATGTGCCCTCACATTCTCAGTTATTTTGTCATCAAGACTTCCAATCCAATGGCATTAGCATGCTCTTATTCTCAGTGACCTTCTTCCCACTATAGAAATCTCATATTTCAGGTCCATTATCAAGAACTGCATTATCCAAAATAGTAGACATATGTAGGTACAGAATACTTCAGAAGAAAAAGAAAAGTCTGTTATATTTATCCATATTTCTGCTTATTGTATTCTTTATTTTTTCCTTATGTGCCAAGATTCAATTTTGTACTTCTTTCTGTTTAGATAACTTCCTTTAACCATTCTTGTAGGATATACTAGCTAGTGACAAGTGTCTAGAAATGTCATCTGGGAGCTAAAGCTTGGAAAGGGAACCTCATGACTCTGACCAGTGTCCGATCCTGTTCTGTCTGAGCTGATATCCAAGATACAAGACAAAATCCTCCCCACTCTTCCCTCTCATCTCCTCAAGTGGAAGGATCTCTTTTGTAGCCATGAGCTGTGCAGCCTGGGTTTAAGGGAGGGCTGATGCCAGCACTCCCTTAGCCACCCTAGTTGTTGTCCCAGTAGTACCTGTGCCCCCCAACCCCCAGTCCACTGTCTAGCAGCCCACTTCAGCACTAGGACTCACCTAGGATTTTTAGTCTTTTGGGCCTACACTGCCTTTTGTGTTTATTTAGAACCCCAGAGTACCTTAGACCATTTTGGAGAGGCTTGCAGGAACTCAAGTTCCCCTCTGTCTAGGGCTGGTTTCAATGCTCCCTCTGTGGTCAAGCGTCAACTGAGTTTGGTCGAGTTTTCCTTTACACTATAAGAAGACAGTATTAAGTTCAATGCCTCATAATTACTGGGCTTTTCCTCATCCAGTACACCAAAACCCTCTGCACCATTCCCCATTTGCCTGGGGATGGAGGAGTGGTGGCATTGGGTATTCAGAACTGTTTTTTCTACCTTTTCAATGCCTATTTAAAATCAGGTACTGTGAGTGCTCACCTGATTTTGGGTTCTTATGAAGGTGCTTTTTTTGTGTGTAGATAGTTGTTAAATTGGTGTCCTTGGCGGGGTGGGGATGATCAATGGAGCCTTCTATTAAACCATCTTGCTCCACCCCAAGTGTCTTGGCCTTCTTCTCTTAATCACATCACTGTTCTCAGCTTTTGCCTGCACAGTAAGAATCTCCCTTATAAGACCTCAGCTCCCCAATCAGAAACAGAATGCTGACTCTCTTTCCCAGAATTCAAAACTAACTAGCTGGATGCTTAAGCATACCAGATTATTTTCTTCAATTTGGCAGGAGGAAAAAAAAATCATTAGTACTATGCCTCTACAGTCAACCTTGTGATCATCTTCTTATATTCCAAGGGACATTACCCAGCTACTTGATTGCATCTCTTAGCCTCACCTCTTTGTCCATTGAATGTAAAACTTTGATGGTTCAAATCTGCATTGAATTGTCCTTTAACAACCATTGAACTCACTGGATTAGATACTAAACCATGATGTGCGAGAATGTCTCCTGAAAAAAGAAAAGTAACCTTGAATTACACAATCTAAACTTATTGGAAACTAAATTAAAATATGCTCTATTTAATTGTTGTAAGAAGGTTTTCCATACAGATGAAATGTAGCATCACTACAGCCTCCAGTAGGCTTGAAATGGAAAATTCCTAACTTGTTCTCTCCACCTAAACCAAGCCAGTTTTTGTTTTGTTTTTGTTTTTTAGAGATGGAGTCTCACTCTGTTGCCCAGGGTGGAGTGCAGTGGCGTGATCTTGGCTCACCATAACCTCCACCTCATGGGCTCAAGTGATTCTCCTGCCTCAGCTTCCCGACTAGCTGGGATTATATGCACCTGCCACCATGCCCAGCTAATTTTTGTATTTTTAGTAGAGATGGAGTTTCACCATGTTGATCAGGATGGTCTCGAACTCCTGACCTCAAGTGATCCACCCACCTCAGCCTCCCATAGTGCTGGGGTTACAGGCGTGTGCCACCGCGCCCAGTCTCCATACCAGGCTTTTAATGACTCTCTGCTATGCTTGAGGTCTTCTTGATTATTTCAGATCTGCTAAGGAATGCCTACAACAAGCACCCAAACACTTAGGAATTCATTATTAAAACAAGCAGAATCAAAAAGTCAACAATGCTCTGAGATTCAGGGAAAAAGCAAAATAATTCTAGCATTTTGAAGACTTTTTCCTTGCCTTTCTGAGACAGAAATTATTTATGTGAAAAATCAAGTAAAATAATTTATATAATGGCATTCTTCCCTTTAATAGGGATTTGGTTATCTTTTCTGTCCTGAGGCACTAAGTTGAAAATCCCAAAAAGGTGGCTATTATACTTGAATGTGCACAGGTACAATGTGTTTAAAATGCAGATTCCAGGAGTCATGCTACAAAATTATGTTTCAGTATGACTGGTCTAGAGTGTCTGGAAATTTGCCATTTTAAGATGGATCTCAGGTGACTTGGAACAGGTCATAATTAGATAACAATTTTAGAAACACTGATTACTTCCTGAAATCTGGAGGAGTGGGCTAGTGCTGCTAAGCTTCATCTTGCTTCAAATACACAGAAATGCTGAATATAATTTAATAAAGACTTATTTAATATATAGTTTATTTCAAGAAAAAGAAGGAAAAGTATCCGTTGTGCCAGAAAGAGAGTCATAAACACTAGAAAAATTGTAAGTACTTTCCATGTAATTGATTTAATTTAATTCTCATATTTAATTTAATTTTCACCACAATTTTTTAAGGTGCAGCCAGTATGAACCTACATGCTAGCATGATAAAACTGAAATACAATTGGGTGAGATAACTTAAACCTAATATTATGCCATAAGTTTCCATAGCTGAAAGGAAACCCAAGAAGTTGGCTACAAATTCAACACTTTGAACGGTTCCTAAAATCTCAGATAAGAAGCCATAAGGTGTCTGTTGCTTAGATAGATAATACAGACATTAACTGTATATGATATGATTATCTACGTAGAAAATTTTAAAAATCTGAAAATCAAATTTTAGAAGTAAGATTTCTTTCTTTTCTTCTTTTTTTTTTTTTTTTTTTTTTTTGATACAGGGTCTCACTTTGTCACCCAGGCTGGAGTGCGGTGGTGTCATCACAGCTCACTCACAGCAACCACGACCTCCTGGGCTCAAGCAATCTTTTGCTTCAGCCTCCAAACTAGCTGTGAATACAGGTGTGTACCACCATGCCTGGCTATATATATAACATATATATAATTACATAATGTATACATATATATAATTATATATGAATGTACCTAATTATATATTATCTATAATTTATATATTATAAAATTATATATTATAATTATATATTGTAATTATATTATATAATTTATATAAAAATTAGATATAATTACATATAATACATATATTATATATAAGTATACATTATATATAATAAATGTATATATTATATAATTATATATGTATACATTATATATAATAAATGTATATATTATATAATTATATATAAGTATACATTATATATAATAAATGTATATATTATATAATTGTATATAAGTATACATTATATATAATAAATGTATATATTATATAATTATACATAAGTATACATTATATATAATAAATGTATATATTATATAATTATACATAAGTATACATTATATATAATAAGTGTATATATTATATAATTATATATATATCACTGAAGGCCAGGAGTTTGAGGCCAGCCCGGAATACAGTGAGATTCAGTCTCTACAAAAAATCATATATACATATATATATATATATATATATATATATAATATATGTGTACAATATAATATATTATATGTGTATATATAATATATAATATATAATATATATGTGTATATATAATATATAATATATTCTATATGTGTATATATAATATATAATATATTCTATATATGTGTATATATAATATATATCTATGTGTATATATAATATATAATTAATATATATGTGTATATATAATATATAATATATGTGTATATATAATATATAATATAAATGTGTATATATAATATATAATATATATGTGTATATATAATATATAATATATACGTGTACATATAATATATAATATATAATATATATGTGTATATATAATATATAATATATAATATATATGTGTATATATAATAAATAATATATAATATATATGTATGTATAATATATAATATATAATATATATGTGTATATATAATATATAATATATGATATATAATATATATGTATATATAAGATATATTATATATGTGTATATATGATATATCATATATTATATATGTGTATATGATATATATTATATATGTGTATATATGATATATATTATATATGTGTATATATGATATATATTATATATGTGTATATATGATATATATTATATATGTGTATATATGATATATAATATTATATATGTGTATATATCATATATATTATATATGTGTATATATGATATATATTATATAATATATAATATGTGTATATATAATATATAATATATAATATATAATATGTGTATATATAATATATAATATATGTGTATATATAATATATAATATATTATATATATGTGTATATATATTATATGTGTATATATAATATATAATATATAATATATATGTGTATATATAATATATAATATATGTGTATATGTAATATATAATATGTAAATATATAATATTATCATATATAAAAATATATTATAAATTTATATAATATATAATATAAATATATATTTTATACATAATATGTGTATATAGACTATATTATATATAATGTATATATAATATAATATACATAAATATAAATAGATTATAAATTTATATAATATAAATATAAATATATTATAAATTTATATTATATAATATATATCAATATAAATATGTACTTAAATAGTATATAATATATATTATATATATACACATATATACACGTATACATGTACGTATACATATATATATAAAAATATAATTTTTTGTAAAGACTGAATCTCACTATATTTCCCAGGTTGGCCTCAGACTCCCAGCTTTCAGTGATCCTCCTGCCTCAGCCTCCCAAAGTGTTGGGACTACAAGCATGAGTCACCACATCCAGCGAAAAGTAATATTTCTTTAGCAACTTGCACACACAACATCAAGATACCAAAAAGTTTCTATAACACTGCCACAGCCAGTTCCATAAGGCTATAATAATTTAAAAATTCACAAAAGCAACCAAAAGTATGAGGTGTCCTGGAATTACTAAAATAAAAATGTATAATGCCTGCTCATTGATAGGAAGAAATATTTTTCTAATCCAAATTTTACTTTAGACACAGGGCATACGTGTGCAGATTTGTTACCTGGGAATATGGCATGATGCTGAAGTTTGAGGTATGGATCCCATCACCCAGGTAGTGAGCATAGTACCCAGCCATGTGTTTTTAATGCCACACCCTCATCCTCCCTCCGGCTTCGGGTAGTCCTCAATGCCCATTGTTCCCATGTTCATGTCTTTGTGTGTTCAATGTTTAGCTCCCCCATGAGTGAGAGTATGTTGTATTTTAATTGAATGAGGTGAACACTCAGTAAATGTTTTTCTCTCTCACACACACACCCACACACACACAGTCATCATATGAGACTGAAAGAATAAAAGGGGGGCATAGATGTTTTCTAGACTGTTCTGTTACAGGGAAGATTTCCATAGTGGGGATTCATAATAATGTCAACATAATGGGAAAGTTGAGTTGGTTTATACTCTATTTTTCCCTATTATAGATTAAACTTTTGCACCACCAAGTAACAGCAGCCAAATATAAGTAAATTGACACAAGTAAACCCAGCAAGCCACAGAGGAGTCTATTACTGCATGTAGTGGTGTGAACTGTGTCCTCTCAAGAGAAAATGTGTTTGAGTCTTAACCCCCTAGTGGCTCCGAATGTGACCTTATTTGGAGATACGGTCTTTACATAAATAATCAAGTTAAACTGAGGTCATCAGGGTGGGACCTAACAGTATGACTGTTGTCTTGATAAAAAGGGAATATTTGGACACAGACACATGCATAGAGTGATGATGTGAAGAAAGAAAGAGAAGATGGCCATTTCTTATCCAAAGGTAGAGCCATGGAAGATATTTTTGCCTCAGAGCCTCAGAAGAAATCAACTTTGCTAACATCTTCATATTAGATCCGCAGCTTCTAGGAACATGAAACAATGAACTTCTGTTATTTAAGCCTTACAGTCTATCATACTTTGTTACAGTTTCTTTAGCCAACTAACATACTGTACGTGATGTCCATTCTCCAGCTTGTTCTTTATAATGGCTTAGATGACCTGCCTTGCTTGGGAAGTACTTATTACTCACTTCTACTGGATCATTGTGCATTTTACCTTTGCTTACGTGTCTCAACCATCTTGACTATTCCTCACACTGCCCTCCATCAAACTACCTTTAATCCTTTTGGGTAAGGCTAAGATATATATTTACTTTTATATTCCTTGTTAGTAATTTATTATATATTTTAAAAATTTTCCAGGATTTTATCATTGTTGTTTTTGTTTGTGCTTTCTTAATGAAGTTGCATGATTTTTAAGTTGTCTGTTCCAATCCTATTTTCCCCATAAACCCTTTTATACTCCATACATGAATCCACAAACTGTGAGGTATTTTGGGAACATATATAATGCATTGTATTAGTTTTCTATTGCTGCATAACAAGTTAGCACACACTCTATGTCTTAAACAATGCACACATTTCTCGTCTTCAAATTTCCATGCATCAGGAGTCTGGACATGGCTTAGCTGGGTTCTCTGTTTTGGCATCTCACAAAGCTGCAATCAACATGTTGGCTGGGACTGAGGTCTCTTCTGGAAGGTTGACTGGGAAAGAATTTCCTTCCAATCTCAGTCAGGTGTCTGCAGAATTCATTTCTTTACAGCTGTATTATTTAGGGCTACAGCTTTTTATTATCTGTCAGCTACAGGCTGCCGACAGATCCTAGAGGGCAACTGCAGTTCCTTCCTACGTGGCTATCTTCAACGTGGCTACTTGCTTCATCAAGCTCCCAGAGTCTGTAATCCAGTCTGCTTAGATGGAGACTTATATAAAGAGTCTTAGATAATGTAACATCCATCTTTGCCATATAATGTGACCTAATCATGGGGGTGACATTCCATTGCCTTTGCCAAAATCTTTTTGTTAGAAGCAAATCACGGATTATGCCCACTCTCAGAGAGAGGGAGTTACGGAAAGTCAAAAATACCAGGAGGTGGGAATTACTAGAGGCCACCTTAGGTCTTGTCTGCCACATGCATCATGGCAGATTATCTTTAACATAAGAGATTCCTGTACCCCCCCCCCGCAAAGGTATATTGTGTCACTTATAGCTCAATAACCAGTCATTGTAGTCAGGCAACACAACTCTGATGCGTATGTGTCCAGGCAGATCTCAACCCCATTCTCTTCCAGATCTACAAATAATATTTCAATATTCAGGTATGAATGCTAATATTCAAAAGCTCATATCTGACATGTGACAGAAAATACTGTCCCATGAACCCTGCCAAAACATCTGCCCATTTCCATTTTCCTAGGCTTAATTTCTTTTTCAGTCTTCTGATGGAGACAAGGGTTCCTAGTTTCATAAACAGGGGTTGAAAAATGGAGATGTGACATATGCCTCTTCTTTCCTTCAAGTGGTTTATTTTTTTCACTGCCTCAACTTTTTTCTGGCCTCAATAGCTGGACACTCCAGATATGGATTAGCCAGTTTGTTCATTGTCTTAAACAGTGTATCCACTGACTCCTTCATGTGCTGAGATGTTTACACTGAAGGACACCCACCTGATACTTGCAAGAGCAGTATCTTGACAACAGTGTCTAGGAAAATGGAAATTGATTTCTACAAAATATTTAAAACAATATGACATCCCATAAGTAGTCGTTCATATAACAGCTTTGCTGTTTTCACAAAAAGATAAACTGTAGATTGTACCAATAAAATATGCAGCATCTTATTGTTTTCCTTTATAGTTATGTAGTCTCAAATAGCTTTTCCATGTCAAATTATTTTTAATATTCAATGTATTAATAAAATGGCTCAGTACTAACCACGCGGGTATTTTCAAATAGGAAAAATATGATCGAATCTCCCAAATTGCATTCACAATGAAAGATGTTTCATGCTAATGACTCAGATCTTGACAAACGAGGCACGACATTCATTAGTTTAATGTTTTTCCCCCTATTGTGATAGAAATGCATAATGGCACCGACTAAGTAATGTGAAATTATTCAGCAATGTAAGAAAAAATTCAATAAGCACTATCTACCAGTAACAGTTCTTAAGCTCATCGTCTTCAGTTGAAAATTGCTTAGGACATTGTGAAATATTTGCTGCTTTTTCTATTATCATCCCTTATTTATTTTTGCTCTCAGTTTTTCTTGAAATAGTCGAATTAATACCTTGAATTCTTAACCTCCATAAGTCTTTAGGATAAAGGACGCAGAGCCATGGAGAGGCTAAAAGAATAAAGTTATTAGGTATCAGTGTTTATAAGCCTGTGGCGGTATTGCAGAATCAGAGATTGTATCTTAAAACAACAGAATGAAGGCAGTATGTCCAGTCTTCTTGGTATTAGGCAGGACTATACCAAAGCCCTCTAATATTGCATGGTGCGATAGAAAGAATGATAGCTGAGATACCACGAGACCTCTGTTTTAGTTCTGGCCCTGCCTTAGATTTTCTAGACTTCAGTTTCTTCATTAGCAAAATTAAGCTTGGACTTTAGTCACTTGATGATAACAAGGAACTTTTTAAGGCCATGAGCCTTGCCTGTATAGATCCATTAGGGAGCTCTTTTTTATTTATTCTATATCATTCACATATTTTTCTATTTAAATATCATTTGATCTTAATTGTGAAGTCACATAGTTGGCTACCATTATGTAAGGTTGTACATCTACTTCTCTGATACATAGGATTTATTCGATCCATCAAACTGTGTTGTTCAGTTCTGTCTTAAAGCAATAATCCCATGTGTTACAATGTAACAAGGCCAGAAGTTGTTAGCAGGTTGATGTAGGTTCAACTGGTGGCTCCACATATTTCCAGGTTTATGATATTTGGTGAATTCTTGACCTTCTGTGAACCTGTTTGTCTGTGAAGTGGTCAACCATTATAATCACTCCCTTGCGTAAATTTACAATTCCTTTGCTTCTCTCTCAGTTTTTTATCCTTCTTTGGCAAACCCACCCTGGTTGAATATGATGCCCAGGATATTTCCCGTGTGGAAATATCCTGGTGAAGCTGAACATGATCGGAGACAGAACAACTCTGTTAACTAGGCTCACTTGAAATTCCCAATCACAAATCTCAAGTGAGCCTTCAATGCTATTATAGTTTGGATGTTTGTACCCCTAAACCTCATGTTACAATTTGATCCTGAATGTTTGAGTGGGGCCTAATGAGAGTTGTTTAAGTCATGGAGTAGATTCCCACGAATGGATTAACATCTTCCCTGAGGAGGAGTGAGTTAGTCCTCACTGAATTTGTTCTCATGAGAGCTGGTTGTTAAAAAGAACCTGTGTACCTCCTCTCTCTCTGTTTCTCTCTTTCTCCCTCTTGCTTCTTCTCTTGCCATGTTACCTCTGCACATGCCAGCTTACCTTTACCTTCTGCCATCAGTGAAACCAGCGTGAGGCCCTCACTAGAAGTTGAGAAGATGCTGGTGCTATGCTTTGTGTAAAGCCTATAAAACCATGAGCCAAATAAACCTCTTTCTTATAAATAACTAAGCATCTGATATTCCTTTATAGCACCACAACAGTCTAAGACCAAAAAAAATGGTACCAAGGAGTTCAATGTTTCCATAAAGACACCTGAAAATGGGAAAGTGGCTTTGGAACTGGGTAATGGACAGAAGTTGGAAGAGTTTGGAAGTTTCAGAAGAAAACAAAACAAAACAAAAGATGGGGGAAAGATTAGAACTTCAGAGATTGGTGATACTGTTTTGCTGTGTCCCATCCAAATCTCATCTTGAATTGTAATCCTTTATGTGACAAGGAAGGGACCAGGCGGGAGGTGATTGGATTATGGGGACATATTCCTCCATGCTGTTCTCATGATAGTGAGTTCTCACAAGATCTGATGGTTTTATAAGGCAGTTTTCCCCGCCCTTGCTCATTCTCCCTCACCTGCTGCCATGTAAGATGTGCCTCTTCCCCTTCTGCTGTGATTGTAAGTTTTTGAGGCCTCCCCAGTCATGTGGAACTGTGAGCCAATGAAACCTCTTTTCTTTTTAAATTACCTTGTCTTGTGTAGTATCTTTATAGCAGTGTAAAAATGGACTAATACAATTGGTTAAGTGATTGTGACCAAAATGCTAATAGAAATACAGACAGTAAAGTCCATGGTGATGAGATCTGAGATGGAAATGAGGAACTTACTGGGAACTGGAGCAAAAGTCACCCTTGTTACACTGTAGCAAAAACCTCAGCGGCAATTAAGTTCATGTCCTAGGGTTTTGTGGAAGGCCAAACTTAAGAGTGATAACCTAGGGCATTAGATGGAAGAAGCTTCTAAGAAGCAAAGAAATGGTGTGGCTACTTTTAACAACTTATGACTAGATATGGCAGCAAATGAATGATGTAAATATGTAACTTATAATTAAAAGGAAAACACAACATAAAAATTAAAAAAAATAGAAACCTGACTATATGGTTGAGAAGGAAAGCGTTTTCAGAGAAAAACCCAACAACTGGTTGCTAAAGCAATTAACATGACTAACTATGGCCTGGTGCTAGTAGTCAAGACAATGGGAAAAAGGCCCTGAAGGCATTTCAAAGATCTCTGGGGCTTCCCCTACCAAAATAAGCCCATAGGCCTAGGAAGACAGAATGGTTTTAGGGTATAGGCCAAGGGTGCTACTGCCCTGCACCACCTGAAGATGCTGCTTCCTGCATCCCACCTGCTCTGACACCAGCTGTGGCTCAAATGGCCCCAGGTATAGCTTGGGCCACTACACCTGAGAGTGCAAGCCATACCCTTGGCAACATTCACATGATGCTAAGTCTGCAGGTGCCCAAAATGCAAGAGTGGTGGTGGCTTGGTGGCTTCCACCTAAATTTCAGAGGATGAATGGGAAATCCTGGGTGCCCAGGAAGAAGCATGCACCTTTCTCTTCTCTGTGGCAGAGAAAGAGCTGCCACAGAGAGTCATCACTGGGGCAATACCTAGTGGAGTCACAGGAGTGAGGTGGCATTAAGAACCTAAGAATTGTAGAACCACAAGCAGTGTGCAACCTTAGCCTGGAAAAGCCACAGGAATTAAACTTCAACCTGTGAGAACAGCCATGTGATTTGCAACCAGCAAAGCTATGGTCATAGGACTTCTCAAGGTTTTAGGAGCCCACCTCTGACACCAGTGTGCCCAGGATGCAAGACATGGACTCAAAGATTATTTTGGAGCTTTAAGATTTAATGTCTACCTTCTTGGATTTTGGACTTTCATGGGGCCTTTTACTCCTTTCTTTTGGCCAATTTCTCCCTTTTGGAATGGAAATATTCACCAAATACCTATAAAACAACTATATCTCGGAAGTTAAAGAAAACTTGGTTTTGATTTTATAGGCTCATAGCTGGAAGGATCTAACCTCGAATCTTGGAAGAGCCTTTGGATTTCAGATTTTTAACAGTTTTGGAGACTGATGGAATTATTGTATTTTGCATGTGAGAAGAACATGAGATTTGGGAGGCCAGGGGTGGAACACTGTAGTTTGAATGTTTGTTCCCCCAAACTTCATGTTGAAATTTGATCCCAGTGTTGGAGATGAGGGTGTAATGGGTGGTGTTTGGGTCATGAAGGGGGATCCCTCAGGAATAGATTAATTTTTTTTCCTGGAAGGGGTGAGTCCTTACTCAGTTCCTGTGAAAGCTGGTTGTTAAAAACATCCTGGACCTCCCCACTCTCTCTCCATTGCTTCCTCTCTTACAATGTAATCTCTGCACATGCTGCCTCCCTTTCGCCTTGTATCACGAATGGAAGTAGCCTGAGGTCTTCACCAGAAGCCAAGAAGATGCTTACACCATGCTCCTTGTACAGCCTGCAAAACTGTGAGCCAAATAAACATCTTTTATTTTAAAATTACCCATTCTCAGGTATTTGTTTATAGCAACACTAACAGACTAAGACAAATGCTATCTGCAATTATATTGTTTCCCATCAATTTACTTTTCTGTTTTTTGATGATTATATTTTATCACGTCTTTCCTCAAGCTCTTATAGCTGTCTCACCCTAACTCTCAGACAGTTAAGTTTCAGCTAGGAGTGGCCATGTGTCTAATTTTGGGTTTTTGAAATGGGAGTAGAAGTCAGGTACTTGAATTCCAGACTATCTTAAATTACAGAAAATGACCTTCCCTAGAGTATTTTCCCATCTATTCATGAAGTAGAACATGGACATAAGCAATTCTACCTTGACCATCCAGTTAAAGACAATCTTAGGGAATGGCAGAACTAAAAGAGTCAGTTATTATACCAAAAATAGTGTGTTGTGTGCATGTCTGTGTGTATGTGTGTGTGTACGTGTGTGTGTGTTTATTTCTGGATGGACATCAATGACAATGGTTATATTTGAGGATGACACTGGACATAGAGATCATGGGAAGGAGGAGACATTATTTTGTGAGCTTTAGTTTTGTATCTAAATAAATGGTATTGTGCTAAATATATCATTCTGTGTCCTATTACCTTTAAAAACATATTTATATTGTTGTATTTACATCTATTTTGTTGGTTCTCACTGGTCAATGATACCATTACATGTAACACCTTTTTTCCCCCTGGGGAGGAATTAGCCTTGTTTTCAGCAAAATTCTCAAAGTAATTTCCTGTAGTGAGTGCCTTCACTTACATTCTTCCTATTTTCTTGAATCCACTTCTATTAGGCTTTCATCCCTTCTAATCCACTGATCCTGCTGTTGTCAAGGCCATCTATAAATTCCATGTTGCAAAATTCAATGGTACTTTGTCAGTCCTGATTTTAATAAACCACGGAGTAGCTTTTGGCAAAATTGGTCACTCCCTCTTCATGGACCACTCCCTCTTCCTGGACCATCCAGGCATATTTATTGCATTTATATACATACCTATCTATGTGTGTGTGCGTGTGTATATGCACATTAAGTTATAAATAGATATTTGTACATTTATATAAATACATATATGTGCGAGTGTGTGTATACCTATAGAGCATATATAGCATTGTCTCTCTTCACTTCACTTCTGGGATATCACACTTTCTTAGTTGTCATTTTATTCTGCTGGCTGTTATGTCTCAACCTTACTTCCTGGATTCTCTTCTTCTTCTCAACTTGCAACCAGTGCAATGTTCATGGCATGTGTCTGTATTTCTATACCAATGACTCAAATTTATATCACCAGCCAATACTTTTCTTATAAACTTTAGACTCCAATGTCCACGTACATACTTGCCATCTATTGTATGTCTAACAATAATATTGAACTTAATATTTTATAAATTAAACTATTGATTCCTCATTCTGAAACTTGACCCTTCCACAAGTCCTTTTCACTCGGTAATGGTCAATTTCATCCTTCTGGCTCCTCAGGACAAAATAATTGGAGGCAAGATTGTCTATTATTTTATTACTCACAAAATGCATTCAATCTGTCAGCAATCCTATTAGCTCCACAGTGATCCCCTTTTATCCATGAGGGATGGATTCCATGACCCCCAGGGGATGCTTGAAACCAATCATAGTACCAAACCCTAGATATACTATGTTTTTTCCTATATATATGTACATATACATACCTATGATGAAGTTCCATTTGTAAAGTAAGTACAGTAAGAAATTAACAGCAATAAATAATAAATTATAACAATGTGCTGTAATAAAAGTAAAATAAGCATTCCTTGAACATAAGAACTGCAATACCATGACAGTTAATTTAAAGTCTTGATCACCCAGATAGCTACTAAGTGACTAACAGGAGAGTAGTGCCTACTGCATGGATATGCTAGACAAAGAGATTATTCAAGTCTGGGCAGGATGGAGTGGATGGCATGAGATTTCATCACACTATTCAGAATGGCTTGCAATTTAAAACTTATGAATGGCTTATTTCTGGAGTATTTCATTTAATGTTTTTGGAACATGCAACCATGGGAAACTAAAACTATGACTGGAGAGGGGTACTGTAGTTCAAAAATGTATCCAAAATCTAGCTACTTATTGACACTTGCACTGCTACTACCCTCAATTGAGTCACCATCATCTCTTCCCTGGATTATTTCAATAGCCTTCGATCTGATCCCTCTGCTTTCCCTCTTGTCCTCTTGTATACTGTTGTCAATATAGCGCCCAGAGAAGTTTTTTTTTATAGTAGTGAGATGAGATACTCCTGTGCTCAAAACCCTCCAATGTCCTTCCATCACATATACAATAAAGTTCAAATCTGACCATGGCTATACAAGGCATTATACACCTTGGTCTCTTAATCTCCTGGAACTACTCTTCCAGGACTTCAAATATGTTGGCTTCATTGCTATTCTTCAAATACTCCAAGAACAGTCCCACTGTGATGTTTTCTCCCCGGCATTACAGTAACTTTACTTCAGATCTTCTTTATCATTTAGAATATTTTTAAAATTTTTCACTGTTTCTCTACCTATAGTTTTATACCTGCTAAATATTTTCTCTACACTGCTACCAGGGTGGCATTTCTACAATATATATTTGACCATGTAACCTCCCTATCTGAGACCTATTTTAGGATCAATTCTAAAGTTACAAACAATGGCCAAACAGGATCTTTATGATCTCAGTCCTGCCTATTTCTTCTGTCTGATCTAGTCAAATGTGTCAGACCTGTCTATGGTTTTGTACCTTTTTATATGCTGATCCATCTTCCTGGAAATCTTTCTCATTCCACATGCTTACCCCTACTCCTAGCCCAAGGGAACATTTGCATGTCTCAGAACATAATTCAAATATTTTCTCTTCCCCAAAACCCTTATCTTACCACCCCACCCACACTAGATATTTCTTTCTCTCTGCAATCGCAAAATTTCTTAAATATTTTAATAGCAAAGTAATAGAATTTATTGTGATTGCCTTATATTTTTCTATATCCTCAAGTAGATTATGAAATCCTTGAGGGCAAAGATAACCCTATTAATATCTGCATCATAAGCATTTAGCACAAATTTTAGCAAATCCTAGAAGAAGCTGGTTAAGTATTGAACAACTGAGTGAAAGATGTTAAACTAAAAGATCCCTAATGTCTCTTCCAAGTATGATGATAATTTTATAATTATCATCTTTTTATGAGCTATTTACCCCCAAAATAATAAAACACACACATAATCTTTTTTAGTATGCTGTGGTTTTTGCAATTACTATAATTAAAAGTAATCTATGTTAAATGCTTAGGTTGAGTCAGTGTTTCAGAGGAAGATGGAACAAGTGAGTAATGTGATCAAGCTTTGCACATTGAGTGTCCCTAAGAACTGACACTTCATCTGGTTGTTTGCTATTTCTTTAATGAACTGGAGCAGTTTTCTTAATTAGCAAGGGCCCATCTGTTTCAAGAATGAATGGTCTTTAGTGTAACAAGAGCTGAAAAAACAAGACAGCTTAATTTTAGAGTGAAAATGGCAATAATAAGTGACATAATTACTAGTTTGTGCTTTCTAGATATGGTTTAGTATGCTTTCTAGAATAGAGGCCAATCTGGTAATCTTGTCATCTAAAATTTCACAACGTACTGATTAGTGGTATTTCCTTAGAGGGAAAGAAATATTATCTGTTAGAGGATACAATTAAACATTTAAGAAACAACTAACTTCGTTTGGTTTATAGTTTGAATTATACAATAAGCTTATTATTTTTGAGGCAAGTACATTGTTTATAAATTGAGGTTTTTATATTTGGGGTTTTCATAGGTGAAAGAGCAATTTTTTATTTCTATAAAATTTTCATTACATTTATTATGTAATACATGTTTTATAGTCCTTTACAAGTTTATAGCTCTTTTAGGCACTTACCAAATTCAAGGATGACTCTTTGCTTTGGACTAGACCTAATTCTGGTCCCTTCAAAATAAGCAATGAGGTAGCAGTTTCAAGAATCAAAATATATAAACCAGTTAAATAATTTTTCTTCTGACCTTTTATTTTCTAGCTTAAAGAATGTTAAATAACATTCATATGTTATACACACTGGTTTTGGCCCTCTACATAAACTATGAGAGCATTTCATGTGTCATTATTCAGTTATTGACTCAACTAAAATTTACTCAGTACTTACTATTCACCAAGCATTGTGTGAGGCAATAGCAATATATTGGTGAAATAAATTGCAAAAATATCTCTGCACTCAAGGAACTTACATTTTAATGAGGAGAGACAGAAAACAAACAAAATAAATAAATAATGATATAATGAAATTTCATATGATAATAAAAGTGTTATGAGTTAACCTAAAGTAGGGTAAGGAAATAGAGAATGATAGTGACAGGCTACCCTGAGGAGCTGTTAATTAATGGAAGAAATGAGCTATGTGTATACCTATCTGAAGATAAGAGTGGTCTCAGACAGAGTAACCAGTAAAAGCAAAGAAAATAGTATTAAGTCAGGCATTGTGTTTGCAGAAAAACAATATAACACATGTAGTTGGATTCTAGTGAATAAAGTAGAAAGTGGTAGGGTATGAGGTCGAAGTGGTAGGCCGAATTTTGCAGCTGAAAGGTCAACTAAAATGACAACTAAAAAATGACAATTGGATTTGGCAACTCAGAATTCACTGGAGACCTTGACAAACATGTTTCAACGCAGTGGCAAAATGCAGTTTTAGAGACAAGAGTCCAATTATTGTGTGTTCAAGAAAGAATAAGAGGTGAGGAAGTGAAGACAACAAGTGTAAATATCTGTTTCAATAAGTTTTGTTATAAAAAGGAGCAGAAACACAGTGCTAATTCATCATTTTTGTACAAGGAAAAGTAAAATGTGATGGATACATGCTGTGTAATGTTATGTAGCAGTGAGAAACAATGAACTAGGTAAACACACAATAACGTGGATATATTTTCAAATTATATGGTTGAATGAAACAATTAAAGAAGATAATGGCATCTATACAAAACAGCACTTACAATAAAGTTTTTCCTGATGAGAAAAAATGCTCCATATTACACAAGCATACATATGTGTTCAAGGACCTACAGCAAACACAGGATCAAGCTAATAATTAAGAGCTTATGCCCTTGCTCAGGTGAGTGCCAGGGATCACTGCTATATTGATATAAATTATAGTAGTAATAGTAAATTTATAAAAATGAAACAAATATATCTGTAATTTAATATAACTCTCTGAAAGAATAGACAAAAGATGTAAGATCAAAGATGTTCAAGAATTATCATACATAAATAAATACGAAAAGTCTAGATTGGCATTATCAGTTCAGTAATGGAAGATTGAGGACAAAAAGAAAGATGACATTACTTGGAAAAATTTTAAAAGTAAAGTAAATTAAATACAATAATTATGAAACAAGGTTTGAAATACGCTATAGACTGAATGTTTGTGTTCTGCCCAAAATTCGTAATTTGAAACCTAATCCTCAAAGTGATGGTATTAGGAGCTGAGGCCTTTTGGGAGATTATTAGGTGGTGAGGGTATGAATGGTATTACTGCCCTTAATAAAGGATATCAGGAAGCTCCCCTGCCCCTTCTGCCATGTGGGGACACAGGTAGAAGACAGATTTCTATAAAACAGAAATCAGGGCCGGGCACAGTGGCTCACGCTTGTAATCCCAGCACTTTGGGAGGCCGAAGCAGGTGGATTACCTGAGGTCAGGAGTTTGAGACCAGCCTGGCCAACATGGTGAAACCCTGTCTCTACTAAAAACACAAAAATTAGCCAGGTGTGGTGGCACACACCTGCAGTCCCAGCTACTCAGGAGACTGAGGCAGGAGAATCTCTTGAACCTGGGAGGCAGAGGTTGTAGCGAGCTGAGATCGTGCCACTGCATTCCAGCTTGGGCAACAGAGTGAGACTCCATCTAAAAAAAAAAAAAAAAAAAAAAAAAAAAAAACCACACACACAGAGAAATCAGGTCCTCACCAGACATCACATGTGCTGGTACCTTGATCTTGGACTTCCCAGCCTCCAGAACTGTAAGAAATAAATGTCTGTTGTTCATAAGCCACCTAGTCTATGGTATCTTGTTATAGTAGCAAAAATAAACTAACCAATATTGGGTTTACAAAGGCTTAATTATCTATGTCCAAAGACTGCTGGCTTTAGTCTTTATTGAACTCATTAATACTTTTTTTCAAGCATCCAGAAACATGTTGACTGAAAGGGTCAAATATCATCAAGCCAGCACAGACTGAACACAACAGCAGGTTAGAGAAATGTGCCAGTCTGAGACATTGATCCCAGCTTGACAACTATTAGATCTAAGTTACTGAAGCAGAGGTGTTTGAGTGTAATTGATTCAAAACTGAATTATCCTAACTTGTTTTATGTTGTAACAACATATTCTCAATGTTTGCTTCCAAAGGTGTTTCTCTGTCAAATACTTCCATTCACTGAAAGAAAACAGCTTATGTGCACCTTTAAGAAAGCATGCTTATATTTGGCTTTATTACAGCTTTATTTTATTCATTTATTTATATAAACATATGGGACACAAGTGCAATTTCATTACGTGCATAGATTGCATAATAGGCATATATACACGATGGAATACTATTCAGCCATTAAAAATGAAATAATATCTTTTGCAGCAACATAGATGATATTGGAGGTCATTATCTTAAGAGCAACCAAATGCAGAAAGACAAATATATGTTCTCAATCATAAGTGGGTGTCCTAACTTCTGAGGATGTAAATTTGGCTAAAATGGCCAAGAGAGAAAATGATATAAGGTATATTAGCAATTATATTTTACTATGACATGAGGAGACTATTAGACACTGGAAGATAGGGGTATTGTGAAGCAACCATTGCAGGAATTCTAAAGCAGAGGCTCTCAAAAATAGCAGATGGGGTGATACACACTTTGCATCTTAAGAGCTAGAAAAAAGCCAAATGCTAATTTGAAGATAAATGGCCTTATTAGATAAAGCAGGGAAGTAAGAAAGCTATTTGGAAAAATCAGTTTTGATCAGATGGATTGTTTCTTACTCTAGGCACTGATGTTGTAGTCAACCAGCCTTAATCTTGCTGGGTCTTTTTAAAAACCAAGTTGTACATATTAACCCTGACTTTCCTCATCTTGTACCTATGTACGACTGACTTTTTGAATGGATGTGCAAATCTTTACATTAGTTCCTGTTAAAACTCTCTAGTATTTTAGATCCAGTTATTTGGACTCCTTGAAATATCTGAGTATATTTGCCAGCTAGCCCACGCAGATATGTATCTATGTCAATATACTTGTGGGCTCTGCTTCCTCTACATACCCTTTAATTATAACCATAACCAATGATTCTTGCCTCTATTTTTATAAGTTCATGCATGATTCCTGAATGATGTTATCAGCACCCATATCAGAAACCACCATGTATATATGCTGATGCTTCTGTAAAATCTATCTCAAACCCAGAAATCTCTTCTGAGTTCCAGACACATATTTCCAGTTGCTCACTAACCATCTCTTCTTAATTTTCCCACAAGAATGACAAGCTGCAAATTTAAAGCTGAACTCACGTAATCCATTAGATTGGGAATGCAGAGGCAGAGGGTAACAGCAGTTTTCCAGCATAGGCTAGAGTACCTGGAGCAAGGGGAGTTGCCAACAGAAGTCCTAGAATGGACCAGAGTTGTAGAGCAGCCATGGCTGAGTGCAGGGGTTAGGCCAATGTATTTGAGCTTGCCTCATATACTTAACTGAAATCACTCAAGTTCCCAGGATCCCAATGGCCCAGCGACAGGAGATCATGGCAGGACTACAACCATCAGCAATAGAGAGCAAAACACAATGAAATCAGCAAAAGCATATGAGGTACATCTCAGAGGAAGCCAGAGTAGACTACTGATTATTGTGGACAAGATGCTTGAATCCTGATTTTAAAAACATAAACATCTCCATCTTCTTAGGAATAATGACACAAGAAGAGGGAGGGGAAAACTACCAAACTGACTATGCAAAAGAAACTGAGTTGTGAACTGGAAGTGACTTAGTTTATCTTGAGTCAGCTTGGATAATTTGATCACTAATGAGTGCCAATAGAGTCTTCACTCATGCAAAAACTTACCTTTTATATATCTGAGGACATGTCTGTGAAATTCAGATACATTTATTCATACACATTTAGTAAACAAAATAGGATTCAATGTGTTGTATATTTTGCAATCACCATTTTAGAACATTGATTTAATAAAGATTTAGAGGCTATACCACTAGAAAAATAAGGACATGCTAGCTTTATAATGAGACACTTGGATGCATTTAAAAATAAACATTAGCAATATACATCATTGGTTGAACCAGCACATTCTGGACTAGTAATAGTTAAGAGCATTTGCTCTGGAATTGAGCAGATGTAATTTTGTATTTGACTATATGACTCATTTGATTTCTTATATGGGCAAGTTATTTAACTCATTTGAGCCTCAGTTTCTATATCTGAAAACAAGAATAATTATGTTACTGACTTCCTAAGACAGTTGTATGCATTAAATAAAATATTCCCCATAAAGCACTTAACTTAGGTTCTGATATTTAGATGTTGAAAAAATCGTACTTATCATTTCCTCTCTCTCAGTGTTCTCTATATTAGCTAATTATGTGACCATCCAACCAGTGGCCTTTGACAAGAAACTTGGCAGGCATCACAGATTCTTCTACCCCTAGTTCCCAATCACAGCATGACATTTGTACATTCTGTCTCAGATCTGTCCCTTCCTCTTCATCCCCACAGCCATTACTTTAGTTCAGGCCCTCATGACCTCTGGCTTGGATTGATAAAAGAGCCACCTAATTAATCTTCTAAAAATATTTTTCAGATTCCTTTGGAAAGATTTGTTAGTAGACCCTTTTCTATAAATGTTTAAATATCCTTTCTCTAAAACTCTGGGTACATGCTTCACACTCAAATATGTGCCATTATTTTAATTTTGTAGATGATAAAAGAGGTGCACAAAAGATTAGGTAACTTACCCAAGCTCATCCAGTTATTAAGTGGCAATGGAAGTATCATCAGGACACTGTAGAAAATAAGAAAATTAAAGCAATGTAGAGGTATTATTTAGAGGAAATGTGATTTTAGAAAACTGTTAAATCAAGTTTAGCTTAAAGCTACCTCCATACATAAGTTCAGCCTAAAGGTTTCTCTGTACGTTGTGAACTATAACTTAAATGACATTGTAAACAGCCTAAAGTCCACTCTTGTGCCAATCACTGAGTTTTGGCCAATCAAATGTGGCCAACTGTTCAAACCATGTTCAAATAAAAAAATCACCAAGCTAAACTTAATCTGGCTGTTTCTGTACCTCACCTCCATTTTCTGTAAGTCACTTTTTTTTTTCTGTCCATAAATCCTCTTCCACCATGCAGCTTCACTGGAGTCTCTGAACCTACTTTGGCTCAGGAGGTTGCCCGATTCATGAATCATTCATTGCTCAATTAAACTCTGCTAAATTTAATTCAGCTGAACTTTTTCTTTTAACAGATGGTATCAGAAGTGGGATCTGAAGTACAGCTTCTAACAACTCCCAGGAGTGCTGAGTGACCAAGCAAGGTACCCATTGGGTTCATTGTGTTCATTGCTCTCTCGGAGCAGCTGGGGATGATGGTAAGTTTTCTCTCGGATTCCAAAGCTCCGTGAATTTGTGTATTCGGCTCTCCAATTTTCTTTGCGCAAATTTTTGATCCAAACTGGGTTGGAATTCATGACAAAAACTGGACTCGGTCCGGGATACTGACTTGGATCCAGTTACAGGCGTCTTACTTCTGACTGGGTCAGAAAGAAACCAGTAGTAAATGGCAGTATTGCAAGGGGTGTAAAATTTAGCTTTTGGAAATTTGCAAGTAGTTTTGTGTTCTACGCCTTTGTTTTATTTTTTCTTGTGCACACAAAAAAATCATTGGCTAGGTTGATCAAGGGAACCTGAGAGGAAAGCCAATATGTGAGGTAAAAATGGGATATTTAATTTTTGAAGAATTAAGATCCTTCTGTCTTATACATGCATAAGTATTGGGCTCTGGAAGCAGCAACATTTTACAGAAACAGAAAATATTACTAAAGATAAGTTACAGTGGAAAGTTTTAGGTGAACACTGCACTGAAGTGCATTTGATTGAGGGCTCCCAAATTAGTCTCATCTACAGATGCCTATTGATATGCAGAAGCTTGTAAAAAGATTTCATTATTTTTATTTAAAGACTTTATGAAAGGCAAATAAAAAGCATAAGCGACTAATTGATAAAATGAAAATTAAATCTGCTAACCTTTTGGCTTAGTAGAAAAGCCAAAGGTGGAATCCCGCCCTACAGGTGGAAAGAAAGCTATCCTAGATATGGTGTTTATAAAAGGTAGGCCCTCAGGTACAATAGGCTTGCTCCTTTTCAGATCTATCCATGCTAAGTTCAGGCATACAGTGCTTTATTGGTCCCATTCTTTAATGGACTCCACCCATTACCCTGAACTCAGTGATTTTAGCTAAAAACAGTAGCTGTGTTAAAAAGAACACCCCATGGAACTACGCTACACCTTTCTGGAATTTAATTGGCCATACTGAAACACTTTTGTAAAAGAAATTTACTTCTGTAAAGGAAATCTCAATTTTTATGGATATCTGGTTATTACATTAGAAATTCTTACCATTCTTTTAAGTTTACATAATAAGTCATACCTTTGTTTAAGGTGCTTTTCTGGCCATTTTTTCTTGATGGAACTTTCGTGAGAGTGTCGTTTTTTTCCCTTGGTTTGAGCAAATGATGATACAATATTTAGGCCTAACGTCTTAGCTCTGTGCTCATGAAATATTTTTTTTTGGTTCCACCTAAGAGTTGTCCTTTTAGAAATCGAAACTGCCTAGTTAACGACTGCTTAGAGTAATGAAACTGGTAATTGGAAGACTGATAGACCGAATGGGGAAAAGACAAACTATTTAAAAGCAGATAAATGAAAATCCCTTATGAGAGCTATGAGGTCTGCTTCTGTGTGTTCGTATGTCTGTGTGTGTTATGTAGATGTGATATTTGGTAAATAAAGCTAGTTTTTAAATTGTTGGTCAAATAGAAATGGCTTTAAAATTATCAATGAAATATAATTGGATACTTGCTTGATTTCACTGTGAGCTTATGTCTTTTGTTTAGAGTCTCTGGATTCAGGGGTCTAGATAGGTGACCATGACAAAGTCAGGAGACAGGTTCCTAGTGCCTAGACCAGCAACTGCAAGCCAGAACCAAGCCCAATATGACCCTTTATTCCTCTTCTTTCCCTGTTTTGCCTCCTGGCTATTTTGGGAGGGGCTGGATCCTCCAGGTATAGTCTTCACAGCTCTGTCTTCTGTCCTGATGGTCTCAGTCAGGCCTTGGCCTTCAGATCCTCCTGGTTGCCAGGTGGCTAATTGGGACCTGGAATGACTGGGGGAAGACATTAGAGAGGTGACATGTGTCATAGTTTCAAAATTCATTTCAGTCATTTAAAATCTTTGAGTCATGTTATGTTAAATTAAGTAATAATCATGTAAAAAGTAAAGTAGAGCTTCCTCTTCAAAGACTTTCCTCCCCATCTAATTAGGAATAAATAGTAACTTTCTCTTAGAAACAAAATTTATTCAAAGACCTGTGCTAACATTCTTCAATATCTGCTAGCGGTAATAAAGAAATCAATGTACTTTATGTTCTTAGCTCCCACAATTTAGCCTAAATATTTGCCCTGGCATGCTCATACTGGTCCAAGCAAGCATTAGGTCATAGCCTGTGCCTCTTCCTTATGTGAAGGTGTTTTTACCTTTCTCAGCATTCCACAAGTTACTTCCTCCTTCCTTTGGTGTCCTCTGCCTTTGCCTCTTTTTAAAAGCTCTAAGTTGCTAGCCAATCTGGACAAATACAGAATGTGAGGTCCCGTTCCAGCCAACGGAAACCGGACACAGCAGTAGGGTAGACGTGTCAGGTTATAAATGACCCTGTCTCCTTTGTTCGGTATACTCCCGTGGCAAGACTGCTGGTGAGTGTACCCTTTCTGCAGAAAGTAAAAATGGCCTTTTTGAGGAAATTAAATTTATGCCCAAGTGCTATTTCTTTATGGCACCGGGGAACAAGCATTTCTAAAAATCATAAAATGTCTGAGTCATTTGTAAGTTAAGATACTGAAATATTAATTACTGAACTTGAGTTTAAGTCTATATACCTTGACATCTTACTTTTACGTGGTATAGACAAGGTAAATATATTTAGATCTGTCAATAAACAATAATTTGAAAAACTATTTTTCTCAAAAATTATAAAATGGTTTTAAATTTGCAAATCCTAACATAAAACAGTTCAAAATTTCTTTCTAGGGTTTTTACTAGAAATTTCCAGTTATTAGGCATTAAAAACAACTACATATGAGAGAAACAATTCTGTATATAGTGTATAACCAAAGCAAAATATGCATTTGATAAGGAAAGTTATAAAAGCATAAAAATGTGTGTTAAAAATTTTGTCTGGTTTAAAGTTACTTAAAGTCTTCAAACTGAAGGAGTAAAAAATAGATAAAACAAGATAAATATAGAAAGTTGAGGAAAAATATAAAATGTTTATAGAAATCTTACAGTTAAAAGATGACAAATTTGATAAATTTTTATGAGGTTTTATTAAATTTAGTTTTTGTATTAATAGTACACTAATACGGAAGTAAATTATGTTTTCTCTTTTTTCTCTTTTGAAAAAAATTTTGTGTAGTATTAATAAGACAGTAAAATATTTTCATTCACTTTTTGAGTAAACTGAAAAAAAGGAAAGAGAAAACAAGAGGAGACAGCTTTTGTCTCATGCTGTCTTAAGTATTTTGATTGCTTAGAAAACTAAGTCTCCTTTATCAAAGAGTACAGGTATGATAAATATTTGTTTTTAAATATCTTTTAATTATCACTTTGGTTATATTAATGACTGTTGTTTAACTGTGATCTGCGATTCCACTTTGGTCACTTTTTAAACCTTTAAATTATTGGCATAAAATCAAATTTCAGCTTCAAAGTTAAGTATTTTTTTTGACCTCTAACTTTGAGATGCTACGGAGGGCTCCCTGAAGCATCCAAAAGAGAAGTAACAGGATTATTTGACATGTTATGTTACATGGAAAACATTGTCAAAATAAGAAATAATGTTTAACCTTCTTCAGGTTAAATTTTAATGAATGTTATTAATATATGTTCCAAATTTATGTGAGATTTCTAAAATTTGCACATGTCTGAGTATATGCTACTAATTATAATTACGGTTCTTATATTATTATGGACCACAGAAATAACCAAATTTCCTTGTCACTTGTGTCGTTATGACTATTTAAAGTCATTTCCAGAGTTAATTGCTTAATTCTGATGCTGTTTCTTAAAACTTCACAAGCACACAAAATCCTAGAATATGGTATCTTTAAGAAGGTTCTTGAAAGGATGCAAAGGATTCTGAAAACCACTCTTGAATTCAGGTTTCTTATAACTTTAGAATCATTTCTTTTGGACGGTTAAGAATTTCTGGAACTTCAGTGAAAAGACTGACTGGTTTATAAAACTGCTAGCCCAAGTAGAACAAAAATCAATTAAATACCAAGAAGTTTATGTTGCCAGATATGCTAAATCAGCCAATACTGATATTGTTTAAATGTATGATTTGAGTGAACTCCACGGTCTAAGTCAAATTACCTATGATAATCCATCAGCCATCAGTGCTATGTACCTAAATTGGAGAAACAACTAGTATTCGAAAGGACGTTAAGTTTGTCCAGTGTTAAACATGGACTCGGGGAGAACCAGGATGGCCACCTGTCCTTCCTGAGTTCTTAAACCGTTTGTTATTAAAAGTTCTGCATTCCATGACTCATCATGGAAAAGATAAGATGATCAAAATTAAATATATATTGGTATGGTGACTTCTAAATTGCTAAAATAGTTTATGACCAAAGTTTTGTTTGTCAGACCAATATTCCTGGGAAGACAATGAAAGATTCAGGTACATTCTGCTACCTGATGGGCCACTTAAACATTTACAGAGTGATTTCATTAAATTGTCATCTTCAGTGTGTTGTAAGACTTTTCCTTGGTTCAGCTAAAGATAGGGTTCTTTGTCCCAAGTCCATGAAAATTGATGCTTGCTGACAATTTGAATGGTAAGACAAGATTTTATTTAGTGAAAAGGAAGAAAAGGAGAAAACAAGGGATTCTTGGTAGGCCACAGTTTCTGCTTAGTGCTTCCCCCCGCCAGCCAACTTGAATCCCAGGTTCCACACAGGAAGAGGCGGGGCCAGGCCCCTCCCCACTGCAAATGGTACAAACTCCCCAAGGTTCCACCCCAGCGCGAGTTTTTCCGGGGACCCTCTCCCACCTGGCTATATCATTCCCCCGCCCTAAAGAAGTACATCTAACTGCCGTTAGATTAAATATAAGCATGAAGACCCATCTTAACTGCTTCCTGCTGACAGGGGGTGCTGTTTTGGGAAAATGGCAGTCAGAGCTCCCTCAGAGGCCAACCTAAAGATTTCCAGCAGAAGGGGCCATTGTCAGATGCTCTGGTTGTATGACTGTTTGGAGTTTGATGGTCTGAAGGCAAGAACAGACAAACCAAGTTATTAGAAAACATGTATCAAAATGAAACAAGGGGAGGGGTACGGTCAGCTCAAAAATTCTGAGGCTTTTTACCAGTTTGCACAGGGAGAGGGAAGCCAAAAGCCTGACTGGTAAAAACACTTTACCCTTTCCTGGCATGTTGGGCTTCTGGGTTCCCTTCTCCTGAGCCCAATCCTAAGCCAACTAGTTTAAGATTTGGGAAATTAACTCTTTCCAGTTTGGAGGATGCATCTGAGGGAAGTGTCTTTTAGTGCAGAGACACAGTTATCTATCAGTGAAGAGAAGACAGAGGAGAAGAAAGGAAAAAAGAAGGCATTTTTTTCAAAGGAGTCCCAGGGGTTCATGATGCATTCTAAAGGGGTACAGACTGAAAATGAATGGCTATCCATCTAGAAAGAGGGGAGCAGGCATCCCTGGTTCCCTTCTCTTCCTAGCAGATACCCACGGTACGTGAGGGAGAGAGGGAAGAGTGTCCCCTTTACCTCTTCCATCCTTGCATCTCTGAGTCCCAGTAACCTTGGCAGGTTCCGCCATGAGTGCTAAAGTGGCTTGCATCCAGGAAGCACAAAGGGCCTAGAGAATAGGAGTTATCTGCTCTCATCTATGCCTCTAAACCCACTACTGTACGTAGCTTGGAGTGCCCTAGACCTCATTTATGCCATGGATATTAACCTGGCCTTTATCCATGATACGGGAAGCTTGGGGTTGGCTTAATTGGCAAGAATCAGCCACGCTCACCTTTGCTGTGCCTTTTAACCACTTTTGTCATTTGCCTCTGGATCCCTCCGATCCAGTTTTCTTTTCTAGGGCTTTGACTCGAAGCTTGGAACTGAGTCTGGGACAAAAATGTGTCTGGTGGTGGGGGTTGCGTGGACTCCTTATTGTTAAGTCGAATGCTAAGGTGAAACTGTGGAACTGAGTCCTCTTCCAACAAGGGAGAGAGAAAAGGATGTCTTGTGACACACCCAGATAATTGGTGGCTATAGTTATGCTTACTAAGATTTGGGCACAGGTGCTTGTATTTGGTTAGCTCCCTTCGTCTTACTTTCCCAAAAAGGAAACCTCCAGGTGACGGGCATCCTATTTATTCGTATCACCTGGCAGGATTTGCAGGCTAATTGCCTAGAACTAGAGTATTGACCCGGATTTCTACATTACCCATCCCTTTTGTTCTTTCTGAGCTGCAGCCAGAGATTGTTGGTTGTTTCACAGGACCAAGCCGGGTTAGTCTAAAAATGTAGGCGAAAACTTAAAAACAACTAATGGGATTATAATTTAATGACAAATGTATGATAAGTTTTGAAACATGATTTCTGTCTCTCCAGTCCTCATGTTTGTTTAAAAAACAAATTATTATAGGACCGAGTGGTTTACAGAATACTTTAGTCTTATACTTGGCCTGATTATTTGCGTAAAGTGCAGCGAGAATAATTATTTCTACATAAGCCTTTTGGATTGGCTTTCATGAAACTCTGTTCCCCAAGGAATCTCAGATAAGACCTTTTAAAGCCAAGCCCAGCCATAAGTTTGTATCTTCAAATACCTGCAAGTTGGGTGATTCTCTCCTCTTAAGGTCCCAAGATAAACTTGAAACTCCTAGACCTGTTAGAAAGTGACATTCCTTATTGACCACCGGTCAGGAACCCTATACAGGGACTGTGTAGATGAGGGTTATGAGGCCAGTTTCCCCACTGGGCTTTTATTGGCTCTGCAAGTCGAGATTGACTCTTTAAAGGGAAGCATACCATTCCAGTCAAAGCCTTGGTAAAACTACCACTTTTTTAAATTGTGTCTTGTTGCAAAAAAAAAAAAAAAAGTATTCTTACTGCAGTGATGCAAAGGACTACATTGCCATAAGTTAAGAATACATAGTTTCCAAATTCTAGAGGAACCAAGCAGAGAGAAACAAACATGCTCCAAATCTTGGTCATAGGAGTATACCTCACTCAATTATTAAAGGCCATAAATAGTTCAAAATAAGTTGACTGTGAAAAACAAAACAAGGATCACCAATATTCCACGCAAAGGCTAAAAGGATTGCTTCAGTTTCTGAGTTTAGTCCATTTGGTTAACTCTTGTTTTGCTTGATATTTGTGAGCATTTCAGCTCTTCATGAGTCCTGTACATTTTCCTTTATTCCAATGTTATAATCTCCAAATTTATCAGAAACTTGATTGTCTCAAATAAAATCAGAAATTGTATTTGAGAGCACGTGTCAGAGTCCTATGGCTTATTGTAAACCATCTTTGAAAAGGATTAAAGCAAGACAACAGTTGTCTGTGAATAACAAAATGTCCAGGGTAGTTACAGTTAGAGACACAATTGAAATTGGTTATCTTCGTGATTTACTATAACTTAACCTAACAGCCTTTATTATGATTGATAGCATATATCAGACATTAGAATTTTAGAAATCCCATACCATTTTGGAACATATATTAACATTATTCACCAAAGATATAACCTAAAGAAGATTGAACATCATTTTGGCAATCCCATGTACCTAAACATGTTAAATAATCCTGTTTACCTCTTTTCTGGAGAATTCATAGGCCTTCTGAAGTATATGAAAAGCCAGGTGTCAGGAAAGACAGTTTTGAAACTTAAGTTTGATTTTGGGAAGGCAGTTAAATATGTTAAGTTTAAAACACTTGGTATTATGAAATGGAATTCCAGATTAACATAAGTTATTTATTTTGCCAAAATGATGACTCTGAAATTTTAAGAAGCAGAAACCCTTTGTAACCCTTTAAAAATGTTGCCAAAGGGCAGATTAGTGCCTTAGGAAAACCTTGTTATGCTTTTATTTCAATGCTCAATTTACAGAAAAACCATAGAATGCCCTTTTTTGAATTTAGTCAATAAGTTCACACAGAGAACCTCTTCCGCAAGATTAATTTCCACAATTCTTCCACCACTTCTTTGAACCTTCAGGTTTTTCTTATCTAATTTAATACAATCCTTTAACCCCAGGCAAAAATTTACATTTCCATGACTCATTATATCCTTTTACTAAAAAAAAAAAAGAAAAAAGAAAAAACCACACATTTTATTGTTCTTACACACCTTGCATGTAAATCTATTTTCAGTAGTTTCAATTACATGTCCAAATGATAACTCCTAGAAATTTTTAACTTTAAGGTAAAACTTGCTAAGTTGCTTTAACTGTGTGCTAAGTGCAGCCAAAGTTTGACTCCAGCATAATTAAGGGCGTGGTTAAGTTCCATATGTCCCAGGCCTTACCAATTGTGAAGCCGGCAAGTCAAGTACTTCTCAAAACCCAAAAAGCACCTTGTAACCTCAGAACTCTTAGCAAACCTTGCATCTGACCTGCATTTTACCAATAATCTTTAAGGCTGTTTTTATTTCTCAAAGATTAAAGTCATCTGAACTGAAAGGTACCACAGCTTTTAGCTTCCCTTAAAAACAAAATACTTGATCCAAGCGCTTGTCTTTCTCCCCTCCCTCCCTCCCTCCCTCTCTCCCTCCCTCCCTCCCTCTCTCCCTCCCTCCCTCTCTCCCTCTTTCCCTCCCTCTCTCCCTCTCTCCCTCTCTCCCTCTCTCCCTCTCTCCCTCTCTCCCTCTCTCCCTCTCTCCCTCTCTCCCTCTCTCCCTCTCTCCCTTTCTTCCTTCCCTCCTTCCCTCCCTCCCTCCCTTTCTTTCTTTCTCTTTCGTGCAGGGGCGTGATCTCAGCTCACTGCAACCTCTGCCTCCTGGGTTCAAGCAATTCTCCTGCCTCATCTTCCCGAGTAGCTGGGACTACAGGCATGCGCCACTATGCCCAGCTAATTTTTGTACTTTTAGTAAAGATGGGGTTTGACCATGTTGGCCAGGATGGTCTTGATCTCCTGACCTGGTGATCCGCCCACCTCGGCCTCCCAAAGTGCTGACAAAGTGGTGGCATGAGCCACCGCACCTGGCCCGCGCTTGTCTTTCTTTAGGCCAAATTAATTAGAGCTCCTTTAACAGATATCACACACAGTACACACACACACAGGCAGAAGAAAACCCAGTCGCTGGGTAGGGCCCTTTAAGAGACAGGGCTAGGAAAACATGCAGATATGGAACCACAGAGGGCTCATCCCCTCAGGCAGGAGTGCTACACAAAGCCTTGCCAAGTGGTTACTGGCCATGGCGCCCGGATGTAAAGCAAGATGGAGGCTTGATGTCACAACCAAAATTTTGCAGAGAATACAGTGATAGGTGGGGGGGGCCTGGCCTAGTAAAACATCTTCTAAAAGAGGAAAAAACCCTCAAAAGTTAACTACTGATGGGGTAGAGAAGGAAAAGAAAGAAACAGTTTAAAAATGCCTTGGGAGAAACCTCTTATTCAACTGTTTCCTCCACCGGAAAGAAAAGTTGAAGCTTAATTACTGCCTGATTGAGTTAAACCCCTTGGCCAAGAAAGGGGAAGGCTGTGGCAGTGGTGCGTGGCTGGGAACCAGCCAGCCAGCTGTGCAGGACCCTTGGACCATGTGTCCCAGGCCTAGCAGGGAGTGGGGGGTGGAGGGTAGCTGCTGCTCGCTGGTCCCTCCCGAAAAAGAAAAGAAAAAGCCATGACAAGGCACAGGAGCGATGGGAAGGTGGGGGCATGGTTTTCCCCACCCTCAGAAATCTGAGGATGAAAAGGCTTAGAAGCAACAGTGAGAGGTTTTGAGTCCCCATTTCACTCACCACTTCTTGAGTTCCCACATTGTGTGCCAAAAATACTGCAGGACTTTCCCTTAGTTCACTTAAAAATGGGGTTCTTTGTCCCACAGCCATGAAAATTGAGGCTCGCAGACAATTTGAATGGTGAGTAAGACAGGGATTTACTGGGTGAAAAGGAAGAAAAAGGGGAAACAGGGACTCCTTTAGGCCACAGTCCCTGCTTAGTCCTTCCCGCTGGCAGCTTGAATCCCAGGTTTCACACAGGAAGAGGAGGGGCCAGGCTCCTCCCCATTGCAAATGGTGCAAATTTCCCAAGGTCCTACCCCAGTGTATGGGCTACTTGGAGTTTTCCCAAGGACCCTCATCCACCTTGCTGTCTCAAATGCATGTTTTCTGTTGTAGAAAAGGTTTCCCATGCAAAGGGGTTGATTTTTTTTTTTTACAGCAGCTTCTTATGCCACAGTGTATTTTCACCAGGCAAAGAAAGCTTTTCATGGTTTACTGAGGATAATCATCCCCTTCACATCTAGAACCTGAAGACTGGATCTTTTGAGAACATCAGAGAAAGTCTGCTTTTGCCATCCACACTGCAGCAAAACTTTGGGACCTTGAACCTTGGGATCATATCTCAGAATTGAGAAGGGTCATCATTCTTGTAATTGTACACTCATTGGAAACCTTAAGGTAAAGCTACTCAAGGGAGGTACTCCCTAGAAGAAAACGCCATCCTTGATGTGAACAGCTTTTTCCCAAGATCATGGATCAAGACTTCTCTACTGTCATGAGACTTTTTTTTTGTTTTTTGAGATGGAGTTTCGATTTTGTTGCCCAGGCTGGAGTGCAATGGTGCGATCTCAGCTCACCACAACCTCCGCCTCCTGTGTTCAAGCAATTCTCCTGCCTCAACCTCCCAAGTAGCTGGGATTACAGGCATGTGCCACCACACCTGGCTACTTTTGTATTTTTAGTAGAGACGGGGTTTCTCCATGTTGGTCAGGCTGGTCTCGCACTCCCAACCTCAAGTGATCCGCCTACCTCGGCCTCCCAAAGTGCTGGGATTATAGCCATGAGCCACCGTGCCCAGCTGAGACTCTTATCTGTGATTTTTTTCCACCTTGCTTATGCCTCTATAAACAACAGAAGTGAAAAGAGGGTCCGTTGTGTTCCCTCTTGGGGTATACTTTTATTTATGAAGGATTTTGCAGCCAGCCTTATACATGGATAACCTTATACCTTGGTAGATGAAAGATGAAGGCATGAAGCCCCAGTGTAGCTGAGAAATTTTAATGGTACATATATTGCTTCATAACCAGTCAGAAACCAGTTTCACTCCTCTTAAATTACATCATGGGTTAAAGAGAACATTGCCTGGAAGTGTTTGCTCTTCTAGAAGGGCATCATTGTTAGGTCCCTTTTTCCGTGGTTTGGAATAAAAGAGGCCATGATTAGTAATTTGTTCCTCATGATAGGCTCTATAGCCGACTGTACTGTAAAGGCTATGGTTACACAACGGACTTTAAATTATCTTGTGAAAGTTATGCTAGATAATAGAATTGTTCTACATTATTTACTACCTAAACAGAGAAGTATCAGTGTAGCTTCTGGCACTTGTTTCCCATGGAGAAATACATCACATCACGTATTATAGAGATTCCGTTTTCAGGGATTAATGAAGAGACTTCTCAGTTAAAGCGAGTAGACTATTTAGCTCATTCTTTCATCTCTTTTATTTTAGTTGGTTTGGTTTATGAGGGTGCTAGGTAAGGAGCGTACTCCAAACTCTAAGAGTTTGGAGTATTATCCTCCTGATAGTCATAGTGGTAGTCTCCCTGATGAGCTGTATTCTCTCAAAAGTTTTAAATGTTGAATGCATACAGAGTGTCAAATGGTCTCTCTTCAGCTAAAATGACAAGAGCTGAAAGAAATGTGCGACCATGAGGACACTATAACCTATGAATAATATGTTCAGATAAAAAAAAATGATGGTAACTTAGAGTGGCACGAAGGACCTAAGTTTTTGTCACACTCTTACCTAAGTGAGAACCTGGCCAAAAGGGGGAAATTTTAAAACAAAAGTATGGGAGGTCATTGTTTTGGACTAAGCTTATGCACTAGGGCCCAACAGACCAGACCAAACCAAAATAGATTCACTTGTGCTAAATGTGACATAATTAAACTAAGACTTTAAGACAACATAGATCTTAGAAGAAACCAGGTTTTGTTTTTTCTCCTGTAAACAGGATATTCCAACATAAGGAGTTAACCTATACTCTAACCCTTAAAAAAATAACCTGAAATCCCAGTTCCTACCTTACAAAACTCACTGTTCTACTGTTCCCCAGTGGTTTTCAAGACCAAATAAGTACATTTATGATGGTGAGAGTAACACTGATGACTAGAGTTTGGCCAATCTCTCAAAAGTGTGAGGATGAAGAAAAAGGGGGAATTTTTAAATCAAGTTTAGCCTAAAGCTATCTCCTTACATATTTTAAGTTCAGCCTAAAGGTTTCTCTGTACATAGTGAACTACAATCTAAATGGAATTTTAAACAGACTGAAGTCTACTCTTTTGCCAGTCACCAAGTTTTGGCCAATCAGACGTGGCCAACTGTTCAAACGGTGTTCAAATAAGACAAATGCTGAGCTATAACCGCTCTGTTTCTGTACCTCACTTTCATTTTCTGTACATCACTTTTCTTCTTCTGTGAATAAATCCTCTTCCACCACATGGCTGTGCTAGAGGGTCTGAGCCTACTTTGGCTCAGGAGGCTGACAGATTTGTGAATCATCCTTTGCTCAATTAAACTCTGTTAAATTTAATTTAGCTGAAGATTTTCTTTCAATAAAAAAATTGTTGAAGAGGAGTTCAAAAAATGACAGCACCTGTTTGTTTGTATAAATTATAGAGTTTCTGTTTAAAAATACTATTTATATTCCCATAATAATGCTTCTGTATTATACAGAACAGCTAAGACAAGTGTCATAAGGGTGGCAGTAATATCAACACAGAGATACATGATATAGGTTCCTTAGTAAAATTTACTGCAAACTAACTGATGTAAAATTGTTGCACAGAGAAAGAGATACAGTTGCATTTTCCCTGTTGGAGATGCAACTCTTCTGGCCTCACACAAGGCCATATAATTGTCAATAATATTGAATAATCAGCATAAGAATTCCATCAATTCTTTCAAAAAGATAAACCTGACCACCTCCATTTTTGTTTTGTTTTCTTTTTCTTTTTTATTATACTTTAAGTTTTAGGGTACATGTGCACAACGTGCAGGTCTGTTACATATGTATACATGTGCCATGTTGGTGTGCTGCACCCATTAACTCGTCATTTAACATTAGGTATATCTCCTAATGCTATCCCTCCTCGCTTCTCCCACCCCACAACAGGCCCCAGTATGTGATGTTCCCCTTCCTGTGTCCATGTGTTCTCATTGTTCAATTCCCACCTATGAGTGAGAACATGTGGTGTTTGGTTTTTTGTCCTTGCGATAGTTTGCTGAGAATGATGGTTTCCAGCTTCATCCATGTCCCTACAAAGGACATGAACTCATCATCTTTTATGGCTGCATAGTATTCCATGGTGTATATGTGCCACATTTTCTTAATGCAGTCTATCATTGTTGGACATTTGGGTTGGTTCCAAGTCTTTGCTATTGTGAATAGTGCTGCAATAAACATACATGTGCATGTGTCTTTATAGCAGCATGATTGATAATCCTTTGGGTATATACCCAGTAATGGGATGGCTGGGTCAAATGGTATTTCTAGTTCTAGATCTCTGAGGAATTGCCACACTGACTTCCACAATGGTTGAACTAGTTTACAGTCCCACCAACAGTGTAAAAGTGTTCCTATTTCTCCGTATCCTCTCCAGCACCTGTTGTTTCCTGACTTTTTAATGATTGCCATTCTAACTGGTGTGAGACGGTATCTCATTGTGGTTTTGATTTGCATTTCTCTGATGGCCAGTGATGATGGGCATTTTTTCATGTGTCTTTTGGCTGCATAAATATCTTCTTTTGAGAAGTGTCTGTTCATATCCTTTGCCCACTTTTTGATGGGGTTGTTTGTTTTTTTCTTGTAAATTTGTTGGAGTTCATTGTAGATTCTGGATATTAGCCCTTTGTCAGATGAGTAGATTGCAAAAATTTTCTCCCATTCTGTAGGTTGCCCGTTCACTCTGATGGTGGTTTCTTTTGCTGTACAGAAGCTCTTTAGTTTAATTAGATCCCATTTGTCAATTTTGTCTTTTGTTGCCATTGCTTTTGGTGTTTTAGACATGAAGTCCTTGCCCATGCCTATGTCCTGAATGGTAATGCCTAGGTTTTCTTCTAGGGTTTTTATGGTTTTAGGTCTAACGTTTAAGACTTTAATCCATCTTGAATTAATTTTTGTATAAGGTGTAAGGAAGGGATCCAGTTTCAGCTTTCTGCATATGGCTAGCCAGTTTTCCCAGCACCATTTATTAAATAGGGAATCCTTTCCCCATTGCTTGTTTTTGTCAGGTTTGTCAAAGATCAGATGGTTGTAGATATGTGGCATTATTTCTGAGGGCTCTGTTCTGTTCCATTGGTCTATATCTCTGTTTTGATACCAGTACCATGCTGTTTTGGTTACTGTAGCCTTGTAGTATAGTTTGAAGTCAGGTAGCGTGATGCCTCCAGCTTTGTTCTTTTGGCTTAGGATTGACTTGGCAATGCAGGCTCTTTTTTGGTTCCATACGAACTTTAAAGTAGTTTTTTCCAATTCTGTGAAGAAAGTCATTGGTAGCTTGATGGGGATGGCATTGAATCTATACATTACCTTGGGCAGTATGGCCATTTTCACGATATTGATTCTTCCTACCCATGAGCATGGAATGTTCTTCCATTTGTTTGTATCCTCTTTTGTTTCATTGAGCAGTGGTGTGTAGTTCTCCTTGAAGAGGTCCTTCACATCCCTTGTAAGTTGGATTCCTAGGTATTTTATTCTCTTTGAAGCAATTGTGAATGGGAGTTCACTCATGATTTGGCTCTCTGTTTGTCTATTGTTGGTGTATAAGAATGCTTGTGATTTTTGCACATTGATTTTATATCCTCAGACTTTGCTGAAGTTGCCTATCAGCTTAAGGAGATTTTGGTCTGAGACGATGGGGTTTTCTAGATATACAATCATGTCATCTGTAAACAGTGACAATTTCACTTCCTCTTTTTGCAGGGTGGCTCATGCCTCTAATCCCAGCACTTTGGGAGGCCGAGGCAGGCGGATCACGAGGTCAGGAGATCGAGACCATCCTGGCTAACACGGTGAAACCCTGTCTCTACTGAAAATACAAAAAATTAGCCAGGCATGGTGGCGGGCGCCTGTAGTCCCAGCTACTCAGGAGGCTGAGGCAGGAGAATGGTGTGAACCTGGGAGGCGGAGCTTGCAGTGAGCCGAGATTGCGCCACTGCACCCCAGCCTGGGTGACAGAGCGAGACTCCGTCCATTTTTGTTTTCTAATGGAAGGACTTTGAAAAGGAGAAACCTGACCACCCCCTCTTTGTTTTCTACTGAGGGAGAGGATTCATTCCCCTATGGCACCCTCCAACTTTTCTGAGAGGCATGAAGAAAGTCTGATTTCATGTCAGCCTCCTGGATTCATGCAGTCATGAATAAATCAACTGCATTGGAGTATTAATGCATATTGACCTTGGACATTCATATCTGTTCACTCACTTTATAAGTAAATGGGCTAGTACAAGGCACTGTGGCCTGGATTAAATCCGAGAGAGGCCAGCTGCAGGCGTCCACCCCGTAAGGCATAGGCTTTAGACCTGTGTGATGGTTAATACGGAGTGTCAACTTGCTTGGATTGAAGGATGCAAAGTATTGTTTCTGGGTGTGTTTGTGAGGGTGTTGGCAAAGGGGATTAACATTTAAGTCAGTGGCCTGGGAGACACAGACTCACCCTCAATGTGTGTGAGCACTATTCAGTCAGCTGCCAGTACAGCTAGAATAAAGCAGGCGGAAGAAGGTGGAATGAGCTGACTTGCTGAGTCTTCTGACCTTCATCATTTCTCCCATGCTAGATGCTTCCTGCCCTCAAACATCAGACTCCAGGCTCTTGTGTTTTTGGACTCTTGGACTTACACCAGTGGTTTACCAGGGGCTTTCAGGCCTTTGGCCAAAGAATGAAGGCTGCATTGTCAGCTTCCCTACTTTTGAGGTTTTGGGACTTGGGCTGAGCCACTACTGGCTTCCTTTCTTCTCAACTTATAGACAGCCTATCGTGGGACTTTACGTTGTGCTCATGTGAGTCAGTTCTCCTTAATAAATTCCCTTTCATACATACATATATTCTTGTAGCTCTATCCCTCTGTAGAACTCTGACAAAATACAACCTGACTGAAGTTTCATCCTCATATTGGAAAAAAAAAGAGAAGAATAAAAAATAAGAACATAAAATATGAAATTTGAGTTAATTAGATATCTGTGGAAATTGTGGCAATTTTGCTCTACAAAGAAAATAAGTGATGTCTAAATTTGGATTTTAGGTTTAATTCAGTTCAGCATTTGTTGAACACCTACTCTTATCAAGAAAGCCTAGACACCATGGAAGATTAAAGATAAAAAAGGACAGATTCTCCACCTTCAAGAGTTGACAGGTATAAATCAAAAAGTATCTGAGTTAGATCTCAATCAATTTAGAGGTTCATTTTGCCAAGATTAAGAACTATGGCCTGTGACACAGCCTCAGGAGGTCCTGAGAACATGTGCCCCGTGTGGTTGGGTTACTGCTTGGTTTTATGCATTTTAGGGAGACAGAAGTTACAGACAAAGACATAAATCATTACACATAAGGTATACATTGGTTTGGCCTGGAAAAGCAGGCCATCTCAAAGTGGGGCTTCCAGTTCATAGGTGGATTCAAAGATTTCCTGATTGACAATTAGTTGAAAGAATTAAGCTCTACCTAAAGCATTGAAATCAGCTTGAGTTAAGATAAGAGTGGTTGTGAAAGCCCAGGTTCTTGTCACATAGATGAAACTTGTAGATAGCAAGCTTCAAAAAGAATAGATGGTGAGTATCTCTTATGAGACCTTAAAAGGTGTCAGACTCCCCTGGAAAAGACCTAGTAAGGGAAACATTCTCTAAGGAGTGTAAATTTCTCCCAGAAGAGACAGCTTTGCAGAGCTATTTAAAAATATATCAAAGAAATATATTTGGAGATGAAATACTTAGATTTCCTTCAGGGCCTCCTATCTGGCTTACACAGGCTAATGTAGGAAAAAGGGATGAGGTAAGTGTTTTGGTAATTAATAAAAGAAATCCATAGTCCAGTGTGGCTGCATCATGAACAAGGGATTAGTGGGAAATGAGGCTATGGAGAGCTTTGTGCTAGAGAATATTGGTAAAATTAGATCAAGCTTTTGTACTGTCTACAAATCTGAGAACACTAAAGATGAGATATACAAAAGGTGTTATTTTCAATTTAAAAGTTCAATAAATTGGAAATAATGGATAATTCTATAAGTTCTTGGAAGTCAACATTGTAAAGAGAACATTTTATAAAGGAAAAACAGGATATTTATATAAGGTCTCTAAATCACGTATTACACTCCATATCCAAAGGTAAAAGCTACAAAATTGTTCTGTTTCACTGTGGTTTAAAAATCACTCTTAGTTGCAATAATATGAATCTACTTAAGACTGTCAGGTCAAAAACGAGAGGTAATTTATTGTCGTACACTCATAAACTGTAGCTCAGCCAGCTATCGCTCTATCAACATCCTGAAGTGAGAAGAGACATTGCTGCAAAGACACAGAGTACAAACAAGACACCATAGACTACCAGGATGAGGGAAATATGGAAAGAAATCACTGGTCTGCACGGGCTTCAAGAGCAGTTAACCCATCTAGGCAACTTATACTCAAATAATGAAAGAAAAAAATGAGTAAAACATTAGCTTCAAGTCGTTTTACCTTACTATTAGCACAGGCACCTTATCTTTGTTCCAGAAATTCCGAAAGGTGCCTCTTGAAGTAAACAAGGAAATATTATACCAGAAGCATCAAAAAACTGTCCTTAACAGTTACTCTATTGCGAGGTTCAAGATTAAGCATGTTTTTACCTTCTACATCCTGGGCAGGAAATTTTGACATTTAAGACCTCTAACACAAACTGCTGCAATCTCCATGCGCTGAGGGAGAGGGTGGACTGTCGTTACCTGTCAAGTCTTTGGTTTTAACCGTTACTGAGTTTGTTGTTCACTTTCTGGTTCAGATGACAAAGTAATTTAATTCATAGTCATAGTATTGAAAATCCCAATGGGCTTATGTTTCTAGCTGTGCCAGAGGCAGGAACTGCAAAAAAATATATATGACAAAATCTAGAAGATATCAGGAAGGCAAGAAATAGATCAGATGTGAATAACCAAGTATCATATGGTTATGAATAAAAAATGCCAGTATTTTCAATTGGTTTCAACATCTATCTTTACATTTTATTTTTAGGATATTTATGATATACATTGTAGAGTGTTAGATGCTTTTGTAATTATAGAGAATATATCTGCTGCAAAATCTTTAGTGAAAATTTTATATTCACCAATTTAGATTTGAAGAAAATGATATAAATGAATTTATATGAATGAATAAAAAAGAAAACAGACTTACATTTCCACTAACATGACAGACAAAGTATTCTGAAAACTCTCCAGGTAAACAGAAATACAAAACTAAAATCACCAAGAAATGCCCAATATAATAAAACAACATTATTTCAACTGAATACCTGAACTCACAATACAATTAGGGAAATCCTAGGGAATAAAATGAAGAGAGAGAACAGAAGTGCACAGCAAGAGACTGAGTGAATTTGCTTTTCTTAATAAGTCAGGAGTTTGTATTTGAAAGGTCATGATTACGGGAGGCTTTGAGCTCATAGAAAATGGGGATTTAAGAATGGAAGCACTTGCATATAGCTGAGGTCCTAATGATGTCCTAATGAGTTACACCATTAGTTGAATGGTGGGAAATACCTGTCCATCTACAGAGTAAAAAGAAAATAAAGCTTGACTAATTTAGACTTGTTATAATTGCAGAATTAGTAAACATGTGTCTGCACTCTGTTTTAGGGTTCAAATGTATACTACTTGCATGCCCCCAACATTTTTACACTGGGTAATTGGCATAAAATGTAGCAGTGACCTGGCAATATTATTGGGAAGCCAGCAGAAGAAAATAGAAATTTCTCGGAGGTACAAATCCTCAACCTAGTTCATGCATGGTACTCAAACACAAACTCTGCTCAAAATGTTTACATTAAAAAAGAAGAAAGATCACAAGTATACAACCTAACTTTACTAGAAAGGAACTGGGAAAAAAATAAAAAAAAATAAAAAATAAAAAATGAAAAAAAAAAAAAAAAACAACTAAGCCCAAAGTTAGCCAAAGGTGGGAAATAATAGATATTAGAACAGAAATAAACAAAGTAGAGACTAGGAAAACAATAGAAAAAAATCAGTGAAAGCAAGAGTTGTTTTTTACAAAGCTAAACAACATTGCCAAACCTTTAGCTAGATGGAGAAAAAATGTAGGAGATTCAAATAAATAAAATCAGAAATGAAAGAGGACACATTACAACTGATGCCACAGAAATAAAAATGATCCTAAGAGATTACCATGAAAATATGTCAGCAAAACTAGACAACCAAAAATAAATTTAAAACTTTCTAGTTATATACAACCTATCAATACTCATCATGAAGAAATAGAAATTGTGAATAGACCAAAAATGAGTGAGAAGATTGAATTATTAATAAAAAAAAAACTCCCAAAAAAGAAAAGCCAGAAAACTGAAGAGGAGGGAACATTTCCAAATTCATTTTATGGGGCCAGCATTACCCTGATATAAAAGCCAAGGACACCACAAGAAAATAAAATTACATGCTAGCATCCCTGATCAATATAGGTGCCCACAGCTAACTTCACTTTCAACACTGAAAAATCGAAAGTTTGTCTTCTGAGATTAGGAATAAGACAAAGATGCTCATGCTCACCACTTCTACTCAAAGTAGTACTAGAAATTATAGCTAGAGTAATTAGGTAAGAAAAAAAGAAATAAAAGAAGTAAGTACAATTGTTTCTGTTTGCAGATTACATGATCCTATATGTAGAAAATCCTAAAGACTTCACAAAAAACTGAAATAATAAACAAATTCAATAAAGTTGTAGTAGACAAGGTCAACATACAAAAATCAGTTACATTTCTACATACTATCAAAGAACAAATGAAAATAAAACAACACCATTTACAATGCATCGAAAAGAATAAACTTCTTAAGAATAAACGTAACCAAGGAGGCAAAAGACTTTAACACTGAAAACTACAACAATTAATAAAAGAAAAATTAAAAGATACAAATAAATCGGAAAATATCTCATATTCATGGATTGAAAGACTTAATATTGATAAAATGTACATAGTTCCCAAAGTGATGTTCAGATTCAGGGCTATCCCCATCAAAATCCCAATGACATTTTTTGTAGGAATAGAAAACACAATGCTAAAATTCCTAGGGAACCACAGAGCTACATAACAGCAAAGATGTTGAAAAAGAGGAAAGCTAGTGTCACCACATTTCCTGATTTCAAAATATATTACAAAGCTACAATAAGATAGTATAGTATTGGCCTAAGGATAGAGCTATAGACCCATGGAACAGAAAAGAGAGCTCAGAAATAAACCCACACATATATGGTAAATGGTTTTCAATGAGGTTGCCGAAAGTACACAATAGAGGATAGCCTTTTCAAACAAATGATTCTGGGAAAACTGAATATATCCACAGGCAAAACAAATTGAACCACTACCTTCACTATATACAAAAGTAACTCAAAATGGATTACAAACTAGTGTAAGACCTGAAGCTGAAAAACTCCTAAGAGAAAACACAGGGGGAAAAGCTTCTTGACATTAGTCTTCGGAATTATTTCTTGAATATGAAATCAAAAGCACAAGTGACAAAAGCAAAAATAGATAAATGGGACTATATCCAACTAAAAAACATCTGTACAGCAAAACAAACAGTTAATGGAGTAAAAAGACAACCTACAGAATTGAAGAAAATATTTGCAAATCTTATATCTAATAAGGAGTTAATTTCCAAAATATATAAGGAGCTCCTAACACTTAAGAGCAAAAAAGCAAATAACCTGATATATATATAAAATATATATATAATATATATGTGTATATATATATGTGTGTATATATGTGTGTATATGTGTGTGTGTGTGTGTGTGTGTGTATATATATATATATATATATATATATATATATGATTTCACCTACATGAGGAATTTAAAATAGTCAAACTCATAGAAGCAGGGAATACAATAGTGCTTGCCAGGGTCTAGAGGCTGAGGAAATTGAGGAGTTGTTCAATGAGTGTAAAGTTTCAGTTATTCTGATTTAGAGATCTCATGTATGATACTACCTAAGGTGAACATACAATATTGTGCACTTCAAAGATTTATATTGGGGTATGTTTCACATTATGTGTTATCACACGCACATACAAATAAACACAAAAACAAAGGGACAAATGGAAATTTTGGGAGAAGGTATCATGGATGTTTTCATATATCTAATTAAATTGTACACATTAAATAGGTGCACTTGCTTGTATATCAATTATATATCAAAGAAAGCTGTTTAAGAAACAAGAAATTCAGGGGCCAGGCGTGGTGGCTCATGCCTGTAATCCCAGCACTTTGGGAGGCCGAGGTGGGCGGATCAGGAGGTCAGGAGATGAACACCATCCTGGCTAACATGGCGAAACCCCATTTCTACTAAAAATACAAAAAATTAGCCGCATGTGGTGGCGGGCACCTGTAGTCCCAGCTACTTGGGAGGCTGAGGCAGGAGAATGGTGTGAACCTGGGAAATGGAGCTTGCAGTTAGCCAAGATTGCACCACTGCACTCCAGCCTGGGGGACAGAGCGAGACTCCGTCTCAAAAAGAAAAAAAAAAAAAGAGAAACAAGAAATTCAAATTACAAAACACATAAAGAATGCATACACCACAAGTAAGAGTCAGCAGACACAGCAAATAACATGATCAGAACTTCAAGAGGTACAGAGGATATCCACTGGATAGAGAATGCAAACCATGTATGATTAACATTAATACAGACATAATAGAAATAATCGAAAACATAAGAAAAGAGTATTAGCAAGAAAGATTCCTCATTAGAGTATAATATATTCAGTGATATCTTATCACTCCCTTTGTTAGTTTGACCAAATGAAATCAGGTAACTTAATACACCTGTTCAGTGCCAAATAAATTACTATTTTAGTGTCCCTGCTTTTAGTATATGTAATATATTGAACTAAAATAATCATAAATTTATTCAACAAATATTTATTGAACATCTGTTGTCAGTAAGATACACAGTAGCCAGTGGTGATAGAAAAGTGAATAAATTATTGTCCTCGTTCCCATGTAGCTCACACAAAGCAGAAAGAAGATGCAGAGTGGTAGTTGGATACAAAAAGATAGAACTACAATATAATATTATAGGTGCAGTGACAGAGATGATTACAGTATCTATGTGTGTATATATGTGTATATATATATATGCACACACATATATACATACACATATATAAATGATGTTAAAGTTGTAGTCTAGAAAAACAAGAAGTTATAGGAAAGCATGGAGCAAATAAAGTACTGACCAAAAAGACACAAATCAAATATATGTTATAACAATAAAAATAAAGTAGATTACATTTGCTAATAATTTCCCTGAACATTTTTGCACTGATCATATAATTATACTGTCGTATGCATGAAGCTGTAATTGTCCTTCCTTTTAATGTCTGTGTCTGGTTTTAGTGTTAGATTTGTGATTATCTTATAAAATAAATTGAGCTTCAATCCCTCCTCTTCCATTTTCTGGAATACTTTGTTTTGGGATGATCTGTTTCCTGAAAATTTGGTAGAACTCATATGTTAAACCATGTGAATCTGATGTTTACTTTGTGGAAAGATTTTAAAACAGAGCTTCAATTTCTTTGGAGTTATAGGATCATTCAAACATTATAAAATTATTATTGATTCAGTTTTAGTATGTTCTATTCTTCTAGAAATTTTTGCATGTTGTGTAAGCTTTCAAAGCTGTTGGTGTATAGTTGCGAATAGTCTCTTTTCCTGTAAAAACTCCATCGTATCTGTAACTACATTCACTTTTCATTTCTAATATGCTGCTTCTTCCATTGTCTCTTGCTTAACTTTGCCAGAGTTTTGTTTGTTAATCTTTTCTACTGCATCTTTTATTCTATTTCATTAATTTCTGTTCTTATTGTTATCACCTTTTTTCTTCCATTCTTTCTAGGTTTATACTGTTCCTCTTTTTCTGACTCAGAAAAGAAACACAATGCATTAGTGTTAAGGAATTTTTCAGTTTAAGTATATTATTCAATTTTCATGTGGGTGGGTGCATTTTTTATTATTAATTTATTTTTATTTTATTTTATTTATTTATTTTTTGAGATGGAGTCTCGCTCTGTCACCCAGGCTGGAGTGCAGTGGCGCGATCTCTGCTCACTGCAAGCCCTGCCTCCCAGGTTCACGCCGTTCTCCTGTTCTCCTGCCTCAGCCTCCTGAGTAGCTGGGACTACAGGCGCCTGGCACTACGCCTAGCTATTTTTTTTTATTTTTAGTAGAGACGGGGTTTCACCGTGTTAGCCAGGATGGTCTCGATCTCCTGACCTCGTGATCCGCATGCCTTGGCCTCCCAAAGGGCTGGGATTACAGGTGTGAGCCACCGCACCCGGCCTATTATTAATTTCTAAAGTAATTGAAGTGATATGAGATCATTATATGATATGGTTTATCTTTGAAATTCATTGAGGCTTTCTTTATTGTATGGCCTAGTACATATACAGTGTTTCATGATTTATGTGTGTTTGAGAAAAATGTGACTTTTCTAATTGTTGGAAGACTATCATCTATGTAACATGTCTATCTATTGATCTATCTATCTACCAAGCCACATAGATTAATATATCTTAATATTTATTATAGAGTATTCTAATATCCGTTAGGTAAAGCTTGTTAATTGTGTAATTTGTATCTTTTATATCCTTTTTAATTTCGTTTTCTGATTTACCTATCAATTGAGAGTTGTGTTGAAATTTTCAAAAGGAAGATAGTGTCACCAGTTTATCTGTGCAGATTTAGCAAATATTACTTCATAAATTTTCAAGCTATTTTAGTAGGCGCATACGTATTTAACCTTATTAGATCTTCTTCAATGTAAACATTTATCTTTACGTGTGGTGACCTTTACCGTTCCTAATAATGCCATTTTGCACGTGAATGTCTATTTTATATCACATTTGTATACCTACGATAGCCCTCTTTGGGTTTATAGTTGCCCCGTTTGTCTTTTTTCATCATTTTACTTTTAACCTTTGCATGATAAATTGCATATGTTTGCATTTATTCCAGTTAGTCAATATTTGTTCTTTAGTTGGTCAGCTTAGTCCATTTGCATTTGTTATAATCATTGATATATTGGACCTATTTCAATCATACTCATTTATTATTTCCATTTTTCCATGTTTCTTTCTTCTTTATTCTTTATCACTTTAATTTTAAAATGCTATCTTGTCATTTTAATAAGGCAATAACTGTAGTATGATTTCACATTTGTTCTCTCTGACTCCCAAATTCTGTCATGTAAATATTATTTTAAAATTTTTATTCTGAGTTACTATTAATGTATTTTCTCTTTTATTCCCTTGGTATTAGATTTTTACATAATACCAATAATTCCATGAAAATATTTGATCACCTTAATTTCATTTATCTCTTGTACTATCCCCTGTATTGTCTGTTTTATTTAAGCACTTCATCCAAAACTGTTTGCAGTGTGAGGCTGGCTTTGTGTGGCAAAACTCTGGAGGCCTTATGTACTTAAGAATAATTTTTCTAATGACTTGACATTTGAAAGACAATTTGGCTGAATATAAATTGCCCATTCTAAGTTATTTTCCTTATGTACTTCAAAGTATTTGACTCCGTTATTTTCATAAGTCCAGTTTCACTGTTGAAAAATCTAATGTCAATTTGATTTTTGTTACTTTGCATATGATCTTTGCTTTTTATAATATATTCTTTATTTTTCTATTTTCTATGAATATACTTTCAGTGTATGTAAGTGTGACTGTTGCTAATCTCTCTTCTTTGGCCCTCTATAGGCTCTTTCACTCTGAGGTTTTTCATGTCTTTTAATTTGGAAAAAACAATCTTTATTATTGCTTCATATCATTCTACTATGTTTTTCCTTCTGATATGATACCTACATCTATGCTGTATATATCTTAGCTTTTCTTTTATACATCCTATTTTTTTCCTTTTTCTTTCTATGAAATTTCTTCAGTCTTGTCTATAATTTTGCTGACTTCTTACTCACATATATCAATTCTGTTCTTTATTTTATCTATTGCAAAGTTTATTTCATTGATTATATATTTGCAACCTGATATGATTTCCTTCCTCATCTTCTTGTGTTCTTGTTTTGTGTTGTTTATATCTTCCTTTTTTATTATTTAGTATGCTTATTAGATGAACTATGTATTATTATCCTCAATATTCTAATGCGTTTGCTTTTGTGAAATCCATATATAGTATGCTAGATTTTTTTAAACGTCGATGCTTTTTAAATGCATTGTTATCTTTGCCTGTGAGCAAGTTTCTTCCTTGGAGTATTTTGCTTTTCTGTGAAGCAATTTTGTGGCCTTTTGAAAGACTCCTTCTTGGAACCCAGCTGCCAAGTTGGGAGAAAACCCAAGCAACTGTTTGGGAATGACCCCATGGAAGAGAAACAAGGCCTCTGGCCAACTTCTCCAGCTGTGTTCCTAGGCATCTGCTAGAAACTACTGTTGGTCATATGAATGAAGTCACTTCGGACTTTCCACCTGCCCTAGTGCCCCAGCTACCATCACCACATTAAGCAGAAGAAGTACCTAGTGAACCCATAAAATAATGAGAAATAATTGTTTTAAGTCCTTAAATTTTAGGGTGTTTCGTTACACAGCGATAAGTAACCCAAACATGTGGCCTCTCTGTGTGGCTTTTCACAGTATGGTAGCTAAGTTACCAGAAGCAATGTTCCAAGCGGACAAGCCCCAATTACTAGTGCTTATCAAACCCCATCTTGTATCATTATTGCTTATGTCCTATTGTCCATAACTTATCACATGGCCAGAATCAATATGGTAGGGATATTACAGAAGAGAATGAATAAAGGGAAGTGTGGTTCATTGGAGGCCACCAAAGCAACAATCAACCATGATATATTTCAAAGAATACAAACTTCATTCTCTGATCACAATGAGATTGATTTAGAAAACAATAAGAAAAATATGAATTTTAAAATCTATACATTTGTAATTTTAAAAGACAATGCCTAAAAAACTAATGGAACCAGAATATATAATAATAGATATTAGGTAACATTTAGATTTGTATGATAATGAAAATAACACACAACTCATGGGGTTCAGCTGTTATATTAATATTTAAAGTGAAATGGATAGCATTTAATTCTATATTTAAAAGGAGGAAAGACTGAAAATTAATGACTTAGGCATCTAACTTGAGAAATTAGTAAAAGAGAAGAATAAATAGCTGTGGGGTTGTTTAAATGATGCACACAACTTAAAATTTCTGAAAGAACTTTTAAATACATTATCTCATTATATTCATTTACAATAATTTATTTAGAGTTCTTTGGTAATGAAAACCCAATGGGTAGTTAGAACAGGTATTATTAAAGTCAATTTTAAAAATAATAATGTTGAGGTTCAGAGAGTTTAGCGATTTATTGAACACATAGCAGAGCTTGGAAGTCTCACAGAGTAGTGAATCAAAAGAAGGTTTATGAATTTGACTTTAGAGATCACCTAATTCTATCATAATGATAGCTTATATTAAGTAAGAATAGATCTCATGGATAAACATGGTAACAATTATTGAAAAGCTATTGGGTTTTGCTTTCAATCCATGGAACGTCCTACTTCATTCTTGGGTCCACATAATTACAAGAGTGGTTCCAAGCAACTGCGTTTCTGCTTGTGACTTTGTATGTGCCCCAATTTGAAACAGTTCATTTACCAAAGTTAATTTGGTCCTGACCCAATCTAGGCCCAAAAGAATGCCTTTCCCCAGGCATTTGCAGTTAGGACAATAAAAAACAATTCAAACTTTCTTAGATTTTCTGGAGTTACCACATACAATCTCAGGAAATACAGAGTGTGTACCTTCCACTGACTTGTAGATCATAGTATATGATTCAGCATACGTACTCACCTTGGCTTAAGTTTAAGGGGTAGATTTAGCAAACTGTCATTGCATCAGAATGTGTAAGCTAGCCTTGTGATCCTCAGTAAGAAACAAGAGAGTGAGGTATGCTAGGTATCTTACATTTGGCCTTTAGAACCACCTTGTCTGTTCTCTACCCAGTGCCGTAACATGGTAAAGTGACCTAGATGGACGGCATCAGTAATTTTTCTTGAGCTTCAGGATGTGACAATGTGAGGAAATAGATGGGCAGAACAAAAGAAGTGAGGTCAGGACTTATGTTTCCCTTCTTCCCACTCTTTTGGGTCACTATCATTCAGTCCCTCTATGGAAACCTACAGCACCTTCCAGGCAACCCTCTTCATACAACAAACCACTATGTTTGAGTAACTGGTACCTCCTTCTGTACTTTTAAGTCTAAGTGTCATAAGAACTACTTGTTGTTAGTCCTGGGATATTGCACTATCTGTGGTTGGTTTTTCTGAACCCTGAACACAACTATATAAGTTGTCTTTTTACTAATTTATTTTCAAATTATTCAGTTTGAAAATGCCATCAATTTCCCGCTAGGACCTTGAGAGATAAAATAATGTTAAATAAAAAGTGTTGCAATCCATGATTGTTTACTTGAAAACATAGAATTAACTACTTATAACACAGTCTGTTACTGACAACCTTTATAACTATAGCCAATGACTTTGAAAGTGTCAACATTTCTATAATCATGAAATTTATTGAATTGCGGTAGCCAAATTCTCTGCTGCAGCAAATTTCTAAAATTAAAATAGGTGTGCTAATTAGGTAAATATGCAATCTGGTGATTTGAATAAGGTTGTCTGAGAGGAATCAGAGAAATAAGAGAGCCCAGGAACTAAGGGCCTCTCCAGTGGACTTCTGGTATGACCTGTACTAAGTAAAAATAAGTGATACTGAGTATTCCAGAATGCAACACGGAGGTCACTATTGCTCTAAGGAATATTAGAGATGTCTCCCAACTCAACACTCCAGCCTATGGTTTTTTTCCAAAATGCAAGGCCATAGCCATTAAACAGGGAGCAAAATAAAAAGGTGTTGCATCCAGGAGAGAAACGAAGCCCTAGAGGATTAACCTATTATTGATTTTTCCATTTGTTCACTCAGGGATTCGAACAGCATGACCCAGTGGTGATTCTGGCCTTGGTTACTATCAAATAGAATTCCTCAAAATACATTTTGAGGCATTCAACTAAGGTTTTATTCCATCTATAATTCTAAAAACCAATCTGGTAAGTGACATATGCTTGCTCAGCCTCTCAATCAATCCTCAATTCTGAAGACTAGCACCAAGAAGGAATGGCCCTCTTATTTAGCAGAAAATTCCACCCTGCTTCAGCCATGGGGAAATCCTTACTAATTTGTCAGTAGAATTGAGAGACACTTTAAAAAGGAAATCATCTGAATAGACAAAATCAAGGATGGCCAGATTGGCCATATAAGGAACTCATCTCATGGCTAGAAGATGCTCATAAAAATAATAGATCAAATCATCAAACTTTCCACAGTGTCTAGCAATCTTTGGGCCAGTGAATAATACATGTTGTATCTCTTCCCTCCGCCCTTTTAAAAAAAAGCTTTTCATAAATATTTACTGATGATAATGACAAAAGCTCTTGTATATGAATTTATAATTGAATATCTGTATAGAATTACGGTTTTACTTTGAAGTGCATTCAGAATTTTCTTCTCATTATGAGTGTTACAGATTTACAAAAGCATAAAAATATAATACAACGGACACCTGTGTGGCCATGACCTAGGTAAAAAATATAGCATTACAAATTCAATCAAACCTCCAAACCTCCTTCAAATGACCATTCCCTTTCTTTTTTCACCCTTTTACCTTCCCAGTGCTAACAGCTATCCTGAATTTGGTACTTATCACTTAGATACATGTCTTAACTAGTTTACTACTAATAAGTAAGATTCCTAAATTATACATACACACATATGCGTGTGTGTGTGTGTGTGTGTGTGTGTGTGTGTGTGTATCGGGTACAATGTAGGCTTATGCAACTTATTTCTCATCGTGCAGTGTTTTGAGGATTTATACATGTTGATACTGCTATAATTCATTTATTTTCACTGATGATCTTACTTATGAGTATATTGCAATTCATATAATTATTTGCTTTCTCATTACACTCTAAGATTCATGAGCATGTCTTGTCTATGTATGTATGTATTTATTTATTTATTTATTTAGACAGAGTCTCACTCTGTTGCCCAGGCTGTAGTGCAGTGGCACAATCTCAGCTCACTGTAGCCTCCACCTCCCAGGTGCAAGCATTCTCGTGCCTCAGCCTCCTGAGTAGCTGGGATTTCAGGCACACACTAACACACCCAGCTAATTTCTGTATTTTTTAGTAGAGACGGGGTTTCGCCATGTTGGCCAGGCTGGTCTCGAACTCTTGACCTCAGGTGATCCACCCGCCTCGGCCTCTCACAGTGGTGGGATTACAAGTGTGAGCCACTATGTCCGGCCTCATTTATATTCATTACTGAATCAGACATGTGAGTGAAGAAGCCTTCAGTTGGCTCCATCCATGGCATCTAAGACAACTTAGTGAGACCTACCCAAGTTAGCTCAGTCAACAGTAGGAGCTATGAGAAATAGTAATAAATTGGTTTTACACCTTTAAGTAATGAGGTGTTTTGTTATTCAGAAATAGAAAAGAGAAATGCTTTATCTGTTGTTGTTATGTGGCATTTCAAGAGAAAAAAAGGTAAAGCTTATCCCTATAATCTATTTCTATTTATTGCATTCCCTATTGTAAGTGATCACTTCATAGAGGTGGGATGAATCCCCTCACCCACGATTTGGTTCAAATGTTGACACTGATGATGCCACACAAGAGGGTTTGAAATGATTTATCACTCACAAAATGAGGATTTCCATAGAGAGCTAGGCAGCTCCCAAGCAAGGTACAAAAATGACTTGATATTGCATGGAAAGGAGACTAACTTGAGGTTTTCATCACGGTCATGGGGTGGGGCTGGAGTGAGTGTTCTCCCTTGTATGGCCAAGGCTTTTATGGTTTGAACTTAGCACTAGCACTGATGTAGGTGACACCTAGATTCTTTTACTACTTTGCCCACATCTAGGGCAGAAGAGGAAGAGAGAGTAGTGAGGCTAGAAAACTGTAAGAAGTTAAACACAGTGACAGAGTCAGATATTATTGCACCTGTGGTATTACACAGCATACATTTTGATGCTATTTTATTTGGGACATTAATATCATAACCTAAAATCTGCATCGTGAATTGTTCACTTTCATATTATGAAAGTATCTTTCATTGTATTGTTTAATACTTTTGTCTCTGAACTCAACATCTGGTATTAAGATGGTGCTGAATGTTATTTTTAAATTATTTTTTTGTATTCAGATAAAATTTACATAGAGTGAAATACATACCTTTTTAGTGTAGATGTGAAAAATTTTGATAAATATATACATTCATGCAGCCATCCTCCACATAGAGCTTTTCTGTCACACCAGAATACTTCCTTTTACCCCTTCCAGTCAATCCCCATTCCTACTGTTAATCACTGTTTCCACTTTTCTCCCCATAGATTACTTGTAACTGCTCTTGTATATCAAATAAACATAAGAAGACAATATGCACTCTTCTTTGTCTGCCTTTTTCATACAGCATTATTTTTTAAAAACATATTAATACTAATTTCAAACATATTAAAAAGTTATAAGATTTTTGTCTTAGTTTGGGCTTCTATAACAACTTACCATATATTTGGTGGCTTAGACAACAGAAATTTATTTCTCACAGTTTAGGAGGCTGAAAAGTATGAGCACAGAGTGCCAGCATGGTCAGGTTCTGGTGAGGGCCCTCTTCTCTGTTGTAGACTAATGACTTCTTGCTACGTCCTCAAACAGCAGAGGGCAGAGAGAGAAAATCAATTCCTCTTTGTCCTTTTTATAAGGGCACTAATCCTATTCATGGGGGATCCACTCTTGTGACCTACTTACCTTCTAAAGACCACTCCTCCTAATGACATCACTTTTGGGGTTAGGATTTCTTTTCTTATTTTTTGAGATGGAGTCTCACTCTGTTGCCCAGGCTGGAGTGCAGTGGCGTGATCTCGGCTCACTGCAAGCTCCATCTCCCAGGTTCAAGTGATACTCTACCTCAGCCTCCTGAGTACTTGGGATTACAGGCGCCCACCACTATGCCCAGCTAATTTTTTTTTTTTTTTTGTATTTTCAGTAGAGACAGGGTTTCACCATGTTGGCCAGGCTGGTCTCAAACTCCTGACGTCAGGTGATCTGCCCACCTCGGCCTCCCAAAGTGCTAGGATTACAGGCATGAGCAACCGCACCTGGCCAGGATTTCAACATAAGAATTTTGGGAGGACAGAAACATTCAGTTCATACCATGTTTGAATGTATACCCATATAGCCACCAACTAGAGGCTATCATTAACCCTTTCCTATACTTGCTTTCTCGCATATCTATTCATCAATATATCTTATATTCTCATGCATAAACAAATAAGCTATATAGGCCGGGCACAGTGGCTCACACCTGTAATCCTAGCATTTTGGGAGGCGGAGGCAGGCGGATCACCTGAGGTGGGAGTCTGAGACCAGCCTGACCAACATGGAGAAACCCCCTCTCCACTAAAAATACAAAATTAACTGGCCGTGGTGGCACATGCCTGTAATCCCAGCTACTCAGGAGGCTGAGGCAGGAGGACCACTTGAACCTGGGAGGCGGAGGTTGCAGTGAGCCGAGATGGCACCACTGCACTCCAGCCAGGGCAACAAGAGCAAAACTCTGTCTCAAACTACTTCAGTGATCATATATTTAAGTATAATTCAAAATGTCCTTATTGTGCATTTTTTTCTTTTGTGGTAAATTTTGTATACAATGAAATGCACAAATATTAGGAGCACTGTTTCTTAAATTTTGGGAAATGCATACATCTGCATAGCCTAAACTATAAAGGTATAAAATGTTATCATCACCCCAGAAAATTTTCTCATTCCCTTTGTAGTCAATCCTCATCTCTATCCTCCAAAGGCAATGATTGCTCTCACATTTTCCCACCATAGATTAGTTTTGCCTAACAGAACTTTATATAAATGAAATCATTGCATACTTTTTTCTGAAAGGCTTTTTTTTTTAATCCAGCATAATGATTTTTGAGATTCCTGCATATTGCTGTGTATCAGTAGTTGATTTCTCTTTGTTGTTATGCAGTCTTCCATTGTATGAACACTCCGCAGCTTGTTTGTCCATTTTCCTTTTAAAAGAATACTTGTCTTTTTCCACCTTTGGTTATTATTAAATTCCTGTGAACATTCTTGTATAATTATTTTTGTGGAATACCTAGGATGTTTATTTCTGGGTTATAGGGTGGGTGTTTCCTTAATTTTAAGGAAACTGCCAGATTATTTTCCAGAGTGACTTTACTACTTCTCCCAACAATGTTTGAGAGTCATAGTCATTTCACATTCTTGCCAATATTTGGTATTATCAATCTCTTAAAGTCTGTATTAGTCTGTTCTCACACAGCTAATGAAGACATATGTAAGACTGGGTAATTTATAAAGGAAAGAGGTTTAATTGACTCACAGTGCCACATGGCTGGAGAGGCCTCACAATCATGGTGGAAGGTGAAGGAGGAACAAAATCACATCGTACATGGTGGCAGGCAAGAGAGAGTGTGCAGAGGAACTCCCCCTTATAAAACCATCAGATTTTGTAAGACTTACTCACTATCATGAGAACAGCAAAGGAAAGATCCATACCCATGATTCAGTTACCTTCCACCAGGTCCCTCCCACAGCACATGGGGGTTATGGGAGCTATAATTCAAGATGAGATTTGGGTGGAAACACAGCCAAACCATATAATTCACCCCGGCCCCTCCCAAATCTCATGTCCTCACATTTCAAAACTAATCATGCCTTCCCAACAGTCCTCCAAAGTCTTAACTCATTTCAGCATTAACTCAAAAGTCCACAGTCCAAAGTCTCATCTGAGACAAGGCAAGTCCCTTCTGCCTATGAGCCTGTAAAATCTAAAGCAAGTTAGTTACTTCCTAGATACAATGTGGGTACAGGCATTGGGTAAATACATCTATTCCAAGTGGGAGAATTTGGCCAAAACCAAAAGGCTACAGGCCCCATGGAAGTCCCAAATCTAGCAGCGAAGTTAAATCTTAAAGCTCCAAAATGATCTCCTTTGACTCCGTGTCTCACATCCAGGACACACTGATGCAAGAGGTAGGCTTCCACAGCCATGGACAACTCTGCCCCTGTGACTTTGCAGGATACAATCCCGCTCCTGGCTGCTTTCACAGGCTAGTGTTGAGTGTCTGTGGCTTTTCCAGGTGCACGATGCAAGCTGTCAGTGGATCTAGCATTCTGGGTTTTGGAGGATGGTTGCCGTCCTATTACCCAGTTCTAAAGTTGCCTCCACAGTTTTGGGTATCTATTTACAGCAGTACCCCATTACCTGACACCAATTTACTGTATTAGTCTGTTCTCATGTTGCTAATGAATACATATACAAAACTGGGTAATTTATAAAGGAAAGAGGTTTAATGGACTCAGCTCTGCATGGCTGGGGAGGCCTCACAATCATGGAGGAAGGTGAAGGAGGAGCAAAGTCAAGTCTTACATAGTGGTAGTCAAGAGAGTGAGTGCAGGGGAACTGCCCTTTCTAAAACCATCAGATCTCATGAGACTTATTCACTATTATGAGAACAGCACAGGAAAGACCCGCCCCTATAATTCAGTTGCCTCCTCCTGAAACCCTTACATGACACGTAAGGATTATGGGAACTACAATTCAAGATGAGATTTGGGTGAGGACAGAGCCAAGCCATATCAAAGTCTTAGGCAATCTGGCAAATGTGTAGTGTTATCACACTGTGGTTTTACATTGTATTTCCCTCATGATTAATGATACTGGGCACCTTTTCATTTGCTTTTTGGCCATTCATATATCTTTTCCTGTGAAATGTCTATTCAAATATTCTTCCCGTATTTGTTAGGTTGCTTTTCTTTTGATTATTGAATTGTAATCAAATTATATAATTATATAATAAATTGTATAACATCATTAATTATAAAATTAGTGACATTCTTTGTCAGATATGTGTTTACAAATATTTTCTCCTAGTTTGGGACTTGCCTATTCACTCTCTTAATGCATTATTTTGATATATAGATACAATTTTAATATTCCAATTAAATCAAATATATAAATTATATTTTGTGATTATTGCTCTCTATGACTAGTCCAAATCATGAAAATATTCTCCTAGGTTTTCTTCTAAGAAATTTATGGTTTTCGCTTTCACATTTAAGATTATAATCTATCTGATTATTTATTATGCATACTGTGAGGCAGGGACAAGGTTCATGTTTTTCTTTATGGTTGTCCAATTATTCTAGCTTCATTCATTAAAAATGCTTTTCCCCCATTGGACTCCATCACTGTCATTATTGAAAATCAGATGGGTATATATTTTGGGGTCTATTACTGTGATATTTATTCTTTGCTATTGATCTAGTTGTTAATTCTTTCATTTTTTTTTTTTGAAGCGGAGTCTCACTCTGTCACCTAGGCTGGAGTGCAGTGGCGCGATCTCAGCTCACTGCAACCTCTGCCTCCCGGGTTTAAGCAATTCTCTGCCTCAGCCTCCCAAGTAGCTGGGATTACAGGTGTGTGCCACCACGCCTGGCTAATTTTTGTATTTTTAGTAGAGACGGGGTTTCACCATCTTGGCCAGGCTGGTCTTGAACCCCTGACCTCATGATCGACCCGCCTCAGCCTCCCAAAGTGCTGGGATTACAGGCGTGAACCACTGCGCCTGGCATGGTTGTTAAGTCAGCATCATACTGTAGTGATTATTGTGCATTATACTAAGTCTTACAGTTGAGTTAAATAAGGATACCTGTTTGTTTTTTCCTTTGCAAGATTGCCTTGGATATTCTAGTTCTTTTCATATAAATGTTAGAATCAGATTGCCAATTTTTATGAAAAAGCCCATTGGTGTTATGACTGAAATTACATTGAATAAACACACATAGGCACACACACATCTCTAAAATTAAGGAGAATTGTTACCTTAACAATTTTAAGAAAATCTAAATAATTACAGACATACCATGTCCATGGGTTCAAAATTCCATATATGTGGCTATCTAAATTCAATTCAATTCAATTAAAAATTAAATTAAAGTTCTAGTTCTTTTGTTAGAGTGGCTACATTTCATGTGCTTAATAGCCAAATGTGAGTAGAAGCGACATCACTAAGCAGCACAGGTTATCAAACATTTCCGTCATTGCAGAAAATTTAGTTGACCCTTTGTGTAAATTCTGCTGAGAATATCCCTACCATTTTATTCTGATATTGATAAATTATTTTTATATCTTTTTTCTTTACTCAATTATCCTAGGAGTTTATAGACTTTATTAATTATTTCAAATAAATAACTTGGTTTTATTTTATTTTATTTATTTATTTTTCTGAGGTGGAGTCTCACTCTGTCTCTAAGGCTGGAGTACAGTGGCGCAATCTCGGCTTACTGCAACCTGCACCTCCCAGGTTCAAGCAATTCTCCTGCCTCAGCCTCCTGAGTAGTTGGCATTACAGGCGTGCACCACCATGCCTGGCTAATTTTTGCATTTTTAGTAGAGATGGGGTTTCGTCATGTTGGCCAGGCTGGTCTCGAACTCTGGACCTCAGGTGATCCACCCGCCTTGACCTCTCAAAGTGCTGGGATTACAGGCGTGAGCCACCACACCCAGCCTTGGTTTTATTTTATAATTATATATTTTTCTTATGTTTTATTGATCTGTGCTCCTATACTTATTGTTTCCTTTATGTACTTTGAGCTTAATCTGACTTTTCTAGCTTCTCAAGGAGAATACTTCCGTCAGTTATCTTAAACCTTTATTCATTTCTAATATAAAACTTTGAAATGTTAAATTATCCTCTAAGTACTGCTTTTGCTATATCCAACATTTTAATGAACTTTATTTTAGAATAGTTTTAGATTTATAGAATCCTCCAACAAATTTTGATAGTTTATATTTTATTACTATTCATTTCAAAGTATTTTCTATTTTTACTTTTAATTGTGAATGGCTTTGTGTACTATGCATAAGAGATATATATATATTTTGCTCTACTTCAGTAATTTATAAACTGATGGCTCACATTCAATTAGTAGGTCATAAAATAATTTTGTGGCCTATAGTCAGCCAGCATTTAAAAAATTATATATAATACCAAATAGCAGAGTGCAAAGCACTGTTTTGTTATATTTTTTTTCTATTGGATGTGTGCGTGCATGTAGGTACATGCTCACATGCCCATTGTATACACTGGGTCTTGACAAACAAAGTGTCTCTTTCCAGAGGTTGCAGTGAAAAAGTCTGAAACACTACTATAGAAAATTGAATTTCATCTAGGAAAATAATATGATTATATTTGCATTTTTATAAATACCTCACTGGCAGCAGTTTGTTGGACTAAGTATGGGTGGACAAAAATACATGTGAGTTAGAAGCTTATTACAAGAGTCCAGACAACAGATGGCTAGAACCCAAATAAAACATTAGCTCAAGGTTTGGAAAGAAAGGAGAATTGTATCAGATCAAGGGACTTCATAATTGATTGAAAATACGCTTGGGTGAGAAATCTACGATGATTCACATATTTTTGGATGAATGCATAATGCCATTAATCAGGTTAGAAAATAACAAGGAAGAAGCACATTTGCAAGACAAGTCATATTTAATTTTGGCTGTGTTAAGTGCAAAGTTATTGATAAATATTCACTTAGGGATATCTATACATTTGCCCAAACAATGCCAAGCGAGATAGCTATGTTAGAGTTACATATTTGGAAGTTATCAAATTATTAGTTGTCGTTAAGACTGTGTGAGTAGCTAATATTGCCCAAGGAGTAAATATTGTGACACTAGAGACCATATAATAGAATGCCTTGGAATACCAATATTTAGGATATAGGGACTTACATTGAACTATGGTAAAGGCAAAGATGGAGTGGTTCCCGGAAACTAAGAATAATTCACTAAAAAAAAAAAAAAAAAAAAAAAAAAAGAGTTGCTGAAGTGCCAAATGCTACAAATAGATAAAATAAAAGAGAACTGAATTTAGTAACTAGGGGGCTTATCAGTTTTTTTTTTTTGGCAAAAGCGGTTTCACTGAATTTTGACATCATACCATTGAAAGCTGTTGGTATTCTGGCAAATGATTAAGCAGCATGCAATATATAAACATACGTGTGTGTGTGTGTGTGTGTGTGTGTGTGTATACATATATGCATATTTTAAATTTTTGATGATACTTAGCATGTGTTGCATGCAATTTGCAAATATGAATAAAATATACAATACTCTTTATTGTACTTTATTGTCAATCCATATAGTTGTTATTCTCACAGAATGCTTTTGTTGATTTTTCCTAATTTCTACATTCTCATCACAACTGATGAATTAATGTAGTTCTAACATAAATGTTGGCTGAGGCTTTCATTTATATTAAGAAGTAAAGTGAAAGTGAAACATCAAAGATGAAAGTCAAAACTTCACTCATTTTGGCAAGGAAGTGAGTCAATTTTTGCTGGATTGGATAATAGTTTTCAAATGGCGGAAGATTATTTCCTAAATTATTTATGCTATTCACAACATCATGGCTGTAGGCATGGCACACTTTTAAGTTTAATCTGCATTATTAACACTTTACTATTTTACTAAATCTAGAAAAGCACCCAGCCAAGCCCTGGTTTATAGCATGTGTTGATTTCCATGGTGTAAATACTTCTACAATGGGTGAATTGTACCCATTGTACCCAGCAGTACACTGTTATATATTATTTTCACCATTCTGATACAATGTATGTAATAACCTCAAGAACACAGATAGTAGTAGAACATAGGAAAATAATCCGAAAGTGATGAGTTTTGAATATTATATATTTTAATATAATTCATTTGATTGTAGTTTTATATAATTTCATTTTTAATAATGGCCGTATTTAACAACAAGCCTGCAAATATAATTCCTGAATGTTTAACAATTGGCTCCTGTGCACCAATAAAGGTCAGCTCCAACTAACTGCTAGTTGAAAGGAAAGGAGAATGATTCTATTTGTAAATCTTGGGACTATGCTGGTTTTGATCAAATAATTTAATTATTCAGAGCCTCCATTTCCTCACTTTACCATTAAGGATCCTAACATTTGTTTCACATGTTATTAGGATTATTTGAGATAATGAATATAAATCACACATATTAGGTCCTTAATATATGGAAATTACTTTCATATTTAAGGACTGGTGAGAAGAGTCTAATTGGAATTTTTGTTGTTACTGGTAAATTACTTTTTAATTATCCCATATGATATCTCTTGACTTCTGGTTTCAAGACTATATTCTTTCTTTTAAACTGCATTTCTTTTTTTTTTTTTTTAATTTTATTTTATTTTTATTTTTTGAGATGGAGTCTCGCTCTTTCACCCAGGCTGGAGTGCAGTGGCGTGAACTCGGCTCACTGCAAGCTCTGCCTCCTGGGTTCAAGCCATTCTCCTGCCTCAGCCTCGTGAGTAGCTGGGACTACAGGCGCCTGTCACCAGGCCCGGCTAATTTTTTTGTATTTTTAGTAAAGACAGGGTTTCACCATGTTAGCCAGGATGGTCTCCATCTCCCGACCTCATAATCCGCCTGCCTCAGCCTCCCAAAGTGCTGCGATTACAGGCGTGAGCCACCGCGCCCTAAGGCCCCCATTCTTAACTGTTAACTCCTGAATTGGGGATTTCTGTCAATCTAGCAGAAACTCCAAAAGGATTCTCTGTACTAGAACCTTGATTGTCTGATCACCCCTGTTTCTTATTTTTCTTATTTTTAGGCATTAATTCCAAAAACATCCATCAGACAGACATTTAGGAAGTGTTCTTTCTATACAACAGAGACTTGGACAGGTGAATCAGACCACAGTCCTTGTTTCATTAAGTTTTCAATTTTGGAGGGGGAAGGAAAGGAGAATGAGACAGCCAAAAACTTGTGCTAACTGGTAACTGAAGTGATGGGTGAGGACAGGAGACAGAGCCATTAATTCTGTCTGGACTAGTCAGATGCGGCCTTCCAGAGGAGGCAACCCTGAGTTGAATTTCTCCCAGTAATCTTTTTTTTATCTTTTTCTTTTCTTTTTTTTTTTTTTTTTTTTTTGCTTCCTCCTCCTCTTCCTCTCTCTCCCAGCAGATTTTTTTTTTTTATTTAAATTTTTGAGAACAGGGTCCCACTATATTGCTCAGGCAGGTCTTGAACTTCTGGGCTCAAGCTATCCTCCTGCCTCTGCCTCCCAAAGAGCTGGGATTACAGGCGTGAGCCACTGCGCCCGACCTCTCCTAGTAATCCTAACCCTCACAAATAACCACCATTTTCTTCTAGAAGATGCCTGGGAATATACGTGTGTGCGTGTGCAAGAGTTCTTGACAGCATATAGTTAGGAAAGGAATTGCTGAGTAGGGTGTGCTCCCCTTCAATTTTATCATATATTGTCTGGTTTTCAAAGAGGCGTAATGCATTGCCCTCCCATCAGGGATGTGTGAGACTTCCATTTGTTCTACTTTTTGCACAACACTTGATTAAACTTGGTTGGACTTTTAAATTGTTTCCAGTCTGGTGGGAGTGTAATGGTAGTTTTTTTGTGTATTTTCAAAAAAACCTTTTATTATGAGCCATTACCTACATATGGAAAAATACATAAAACAAGGCCGGGAGCAGTGGCTCACGCCTATAATGCCAGCTCTTAGGGAGGCTGAGGTGGGAGGATTGCCTGAACCCAGGAGTTTGAAATCAGCTGGGCGAGACCCTGCCTCTAACAAAAAAAAAAAAAGAAAAAAGTGTATAAAACAATGTACTGTGTAACGAACCATGAAGTAAACATCACCTGTATTAAGAACTAGAATAACCCTAGATGCTCTCTGTGTATCTTTTTCTTTTCTTTTTTTTTTTTTTATTGATCATTCTTGGGTGTTTCTCGCAGAGGGGGATTTGGCAGGGTCATAGGACAATAGTGGAGGGAAGGTCAGCAGATAAACAAGTGAACAAAGGTCTCTGGTTTTCCTAGGCAGAGGACCCTGTGGCCTTCCGCAGTGTTTGTGTCCCTGGGTACTTGAGATTAGGGAGTGGTGATGACTCTGAACGAGCATGCTGCCTTCAAGCATCTGTTTAACAAAGCACATCTTGCACCGCCCTTAATCCATTTAACCCTGAGTGGACACAGCACATGTTTCAGAGAGCACAGGGTTGGGGGTAAGGTCACAGATCAACAGGATCCCAAGGCAGAAGAATTTTTCTTAGTACAGAACAAAATGAAAGGTCTCCCATGTCTACCTCTTTCTACACAGACACGGCAACCATCCGATTTCTCAATCTTTTCCCCACCTTTCCCCCCTTTCTATTCCACAAAACCGCCATTGTCATCATGGCCCTTTCTCAATGAGCTGTTGGGTACACCTCCCAGATGGGGTGGTAGCCGGGCAGAGGGGCTCCTCACTTCCCAGTAGGGGCGGCCGGGCAGAGGCGCCCCTCACCTCCCGGACGGGGCGGCTGGCCGGGTGGGGGGCTGAACCCCCCACCTCCCTCCCTGACGGGGCGGCTGGCCTGGCGGGGGCTGACCCCCCACCTCCCTCCCCGACGCGGTGGCTGCCGGGCGGAGACGCTCCTCACTTCCCAGACGGGGTGGCTGCTGGGCGGAGGGTCTCCTCACTTCTCAGACGGGGTGGCCGGGCAGAGACGCTCCTCACCTCCCAGACAGGGTCGCGGCCGGGCAGAGGCGCTCCTCACATCCCAGACTGGGCGGCGGGGCAGAGGCGCTCCCCACATCTCAGATGATGGGCGGCCGGGCAGAGACGCTCCTCACTTCCTAGATGGGATGGCGGCAGGGAAGAGGTGCTCCTCACTTCCTAGATGGGATGGCGGCCGGGCAGAGATGCTCCTCGCTTTCCAGACTGGGCAGCCAGGCAGAGGGGCTCCTCACATCCCAGACGATGGGCGGCCAGGCAGAGACGCTCCTCACTTCCCAGACGGGGTGGTGGCCGGGCAGAGGCTGCAATCTCGGCACTTTGGGAGGCCAAGGCAGGCGGCTGGGAGGTGGAGGTTGTAGCGAGCTGAGATCACGCCACTGCACTCCAGCCTGGGCACCATTGAGCACTGAGTGAACCAGACTCCGTCTGCAATCCCGGCACCTCGGGAGGCCAAGGCTGGCGGATCACTCGCGGTTAGGAGCTGGAGACCAGCCCGGCCAACACAGCGAAACCCCGTCTCCACCAAAAAAATACGAAAACCTGTCAGGCGTGGTGGCGTGCGCCTGCAATCGCAGGCACTCGGCAGACTGAGGCAGGAGAATCAGGCAGGGAGGTTGCAGTGAGCCGAGATGGCAGCAGTACAGTCCAGCTTTGGCTCGGCATCAGAGGGAGACTGTGGAAAGAGAGGGAGAGGGAGACCGTGGGGAGAGGGAGACCGTGGGGAGAGGGAGACCGTGGGGAGAGGGAGACCGTGGGGAGAGGGAGAGGGAGAGGGAGAGCTTAAACTGCATTTCTAAACAAAGTTTCTAATACTGTAAGAGCCTTTTCAAAATGAACTGTAAATTCTCATGCTGCCTGACTAGTTAGGTATTTCCTTCCTTGAATTCCTAGCAGAAGAGGAGATGGGGGAAAGTATGATGAAATTTCAGAAAGATACTAGAAGTGCCATCTTAGGTGATGATTGATGTGAAGTAATATATCTGTCAATTATTCACATAGGCCTGGGGCATGGGGAAAGGCAGGAGGTTCAACTATTGTAATTATTTAAACAAAAGGGAATCTGTTCTTTAAAATAATCATCTTTCCCCTTCTCAATTCTTTTCATTTTTCCCCACAGATGAGATAGCCTTGACATCATCCAGAAGTGGTAATATATACTGAGCACTGAATGTCAGATGAATGGCCTTGAATACTGCTTTTGTGTTTCTTAATTTATTTACTCTATTTATCAGTTCTATTTTGCAAAGGAAACAATTTATTACCTTCTGAACTCATTTTAATAACTATGTAACTGTGTGTTTGTATGACATCATGACTAATAGTGTAAGACTGCTTCATTCCCCTTAGTATTTGTGATACCAAAATAAATCTAGGTAGTAGTCTAGATTACTTGGCAAATACAAGAGAAATATTTGCTTTTCAAGCCCAAGTTATTAGTTTAATGTAACAGAGTGATTTTATTTTACCCTTTACAATTATTTGTATTGAAATAAATTCACACAGAAACAAAAATATTTAAAGTACTCAATACTCTGCTACATGTCATTTCTATTTTTAACACACAATTTAAAGTTAACATGGTTAAGGGAAATAAAAGACGAACACAGATGCTGTGTTATTCAAAATAAAACCTTAAATCTATGAAAATAATTATGAGTTTCCAGATAAGATCATTCAATATAGTGATATTTTAGTGATATTTAGCTAATTTTTACATGGACGGCATCCATGTAAAAAAATAATTTGTGAATGAAAATGTTGGTAAAAAGTAACTGTGCTAAGAATATGATGTTCAACTGAAGAACATTTATGGTAAGTCACTAGGGCTATCAGTCAAATACTTTTTACTCTTCACTTCCAATCCCATTGAAGAATTGTACTTTGTGGACCCCTTATGGTTTGGTGGAGTCATGTGATTAATTTGGGCCAATGAGTTGTCAACAGAAATAACATTCCATTTTCTGGGACAGGACATTTAATTATCATTGTGAGACTACCCAAATTTCTCTTTCTGTCTCTCACTACAATGATCAAAGTTCAAGATGGTGGCAGCTTCATCCTCCTGGGGTTCCTGAGTGTTATGTAATAAAAAATTTATCTGGCCTGTGTTCTTCATTTCTGGGAGGTAGCCCTTAAACTTTGAGATTTCTTGAGTAATTGAAATGTCTTTGTCATTCATGGCAGGCCCCGCGGGCCACACTTAGTAGTTTATGCTAATTAGGTGACTCTTGGTGGGCCCCTACATAGTTGATACTAAGACAGTGAGATAGTGACTCAGAGTGGGGGTTGGCCATGTCAAGAAGACCAACTATGTGATCACAGCATTAGAGTTTTCAGCCAGGTGGCATCAGCCCAACCTCCAGGAAGGGGAGGAGAGGTAAAAGATTAAATTCAACCTCTTAGCCAATGATTCAATCATTTGTGACTATGTAATGGAACCCCAATAAAAACTACCAACAACAAAGCTCAAGTGAGCCTCCCTGGTTAAGAACACTGTATACTGAGAGAATTATCCATCCTAAATACATAGGGAGAAGACACCTTTGTGTTACAGACACTCCCAGACATCACCCTGTACATCTATTCTTTTGGCTCTTTCTGATTTGTATTAATTTTGCTATAATAAAACTAATTTTAAGTATAGTGTTTTCCTGAGTTCTGTGCATTGTTCTAGCAAGTTATTGAACCAAAAGGTGTTGTGAAAATCCCAAATTTTTGGCTAGTTGGTCAGAAGTGTTGATGACCCTGGAAACTTCCAAGCTTGTGGTTGATGTATAAAATGAGGGCAGTCTTGTGAAGGACTGTACCCTTAACCTGTAAAATTTGGCCTAACTCTGGGATAGTTAACATCAAAAGTAATTGCGCTGAGTGACTAGGCAGAGCAGAGCTTCTTTACTGACCCACAATAGAGCTCAAGTATGAAAACAAATAAAACTTTTCTGCTTTACACAGCGGAGGTATTGGGGTTCAGTATTACTTCTTATCCTGACTTACATTTATGATGCAGAAACATCTGACTGAAAACATATAGATAGGACAATACAGTTATGTTTATTTCAATCACAAACTAGTGGTTGGAATGACCTTAGCACCTGTCTAATCCCTTACCTACTATTTGAAACTCCTATGCAATGCTTTTCCCAAGTGGCTATCGAACCTCTTCTTAAAAACTCAAATGCTTTGAAGTTCACCTCTTGAGGCATCTCATTCTATTAATGGATAGTCTTTAATATGAGAAAATTTTATTTTTATTTCAAATCTTCTGCTCTGCAACTTCTGTCACAGGTTCTAGTTCTGTCCTGGTGCACCACATAAAGCAAGTTTAATCTCTAATCAGTTCACAAATGTAAAAAAAAACAATATATATACTTGCACTATGTCTTTTCTTCATGCAGAGCTCTCAAGTTTATTCTAATGATCCTCACATGACTAGTTTAAGGTCTCATTACCATCTGGTTAGCCTCTTTTGAGTACAGTCTAGCTTGACTGTCCTCCTGCTGAAGTACAATGCCAGAAGTGAATGTAGTCAGACTGGAAAGAAGTGGATGGGTCGGTCCCATATGCTAATTTTTTTTGAAGTCATATCATAGAGTTCACATATTTTACATGTACAGTCATTAAAAACCCCAGACTTTTTCAACTATACTGCTTTTAAGTCATTTTTTATATTATTGTGATTTTACCCATTCCTGTGATTCATAACAAATGTAAAAGAAACAGCGGACCATGTGCGGTGGCTCACACTTGTAATACCAGCACTTTGGGAGGCTGAGGCAGGCAGATCACCAGGTCAAGAGATCGAGACCAGACTGGCCAACATGGTGAGACCCCATCTCTACTAAAAATATAAAAATTAGCTGGGCGTGGTGGTACGTGCCTGTAGTCACAGCTACTCAGGAGGCTGAGGCAGGAGAACAGCTTGAACCCGGGAGGCAGATGTTGCAGTAAGCTGAGATCACGCCACTGCGCTCCAGCCTGGCAACAGAGTGAGACTCGGTCTCAAAAAACAAAACAAACAAAAAAAACCCGAAAAGACAAAGGAAACAGCGAAAGCTTGAGACCTGAGAAATGTAGTTGCAAATCCCTACTCTTGCACTTATTAACTGTGTGAGTTTGGAATTAACTTCACCTCCCTGAACTATACTTTGCTCATATGTAAAATAAGGTTAACGATTTTTACTTTACAAGGGTGTTTTGAGCTTGCATGCAGAATAACTAACACCATGCCAGGAAAAAAACGGTACATAATAAATGATAATTAAAAACCATGAAACTCATTAAAAGCACAAAATCAGAAGCATGGAAATAAAGAAGAACATATGAAAATTGTAAGGGTTAACTTACTTGTTAGACTTGAGTTTCAAAATTCATCCTAATATATCAGGAAACCAAGCCAAAGGGAAACAGACCTGTGAACAAAAACTAAAACTTGCATAGCCCTCATTATTACAAAGCAGGAAGCTCAGCAATTTCTAGGGAAAGCCAACATTATTTTTCCTGGCACCATATTCTATGATGATCTTGCATGCGAGGATTTATTCAGTGGCCATAGAAAGGCATAGGGGTCATTCCCTTTATATCAAATGTCATAATAAGCAACACAGGGCAAGCTCTTAATAAATATTATACTCCAGGCACTATGTTAAATACTTTATGCATTATCAAATGTATTAGTCACAAAATCATCATGAGTTAGTATTAGTACCCGTAGTTTACATAAGAGAAACATGATGCTGAGAGAGGAAAGTATGGTGTGTAAGGTCAAACAGCAGAGCAGAATTCCAACCTCACTCCATCTTACTGAGCTCTCCTCTCTCTTCATTTCTTTGCTTTACTGTCCATCTCATGGTTACTTAATCTAGTTAGCTAAGTTCTATCTGTCTTTTAAAATCACAGGGCACAGTTTTATTTTTACTGACTTATTCTTCGTTGTCTAGCTCTATAGATTTTTCTAGTTCTATAGAATACACAAAAACTGTTTTTGCTAGTTGTTCACACATTGACTGTTTTCAGCAGAATCAGAACCACCACTCTGCCACTTTTCCTCTGTTCTTTCTCTCTTGCTTCATCCATATGCTATACTTAAATGCCGACAATTTTCCAAATGCCCATCCTAGGTTCTCTGTGCTTCCATTGTTATATGCTATCCTGGGACATTAACTATGCGGCCATGCTTATTTTCCTTGATGTTTTGGTATCCTTCACTTTCTATCAGGCTCCACTTTTTTTTCCCTTTCAACTGTCTATTGTATATTTAAAAGGCTTCCTAAACACTGCTTCCTCTGTTTATATTTTTTTCTTAAAAAGCTTCAAAGACTCCCGATTGTTAACATGATAAAATTAAAATTCCTTAGCCTGGTGGTTGAGACTCAAACAATTTCACTTCAAATATATCACTTTAAGCATTGATTATTTCTTTGTGGTGCCGCTGCTCTAATCTTATCTTCTATTTATATCCTTCACATACTCAATGTCCCAGCCCAACTGATTCAGTTGCTATTCTCTAACTAAATTAGCCTCCTACACATCCCCCTCTCTGCTTTTGCTGATTGGAATAACTGAGGTTCTTCTCACATCCAACTCTATCCAAAATCTTACTGCTTTTCCAGGCCCAACTCAAATTCTAAACATTATTTTGTGTATCGGCTGACTGTACAGCCACAGACATAGGTTAAAGGTCCTCTTACTGGGGCCCTGTCCCAAGGGGACCCCTAGTCGTTAGACCTGCCCAAATCACCCCCTGGTGAAGGTAATAGCTCCAAACCAGTGAAACACAAACTGAAATCTGAGGATAATTTTTGCACTTATGTAGTAAGAAATTTTGTAATGAAAATATAAAGTCGAGTTAGACAACATATCGGTTGGACCTTACTCTAAGATCATGGTTTTTGAAAGGATGCGAATAAACTGTGAGTTACTTGATACATAAAGACTCGTATAGCCTTTATAGTTATTTTCATGGATAGAGCAGCCTCTAAAATAATTTAAAAACTTGTTTGGGACTGCAGTAATATGTACTGATCTCTTTAACTATATAATCTCCCCATTTTATATACTTTCTTAGGCCTGTGCATCTCCTGTATCAGAGTTACAGAATTATTATTAGATAACAAGTGTGTATATGTTGCTGTCTGAGTTTTCTAGTCTATAAGCCCCATGAGGGTTGTAGGTTTTTCTGATGTGTTCACCTAGTATAGTGCCTGGTAAATCATGGAGACTTACATACTCATTGAATTACTGACACCACCCATAGTAGGAGATCACGTAGCTGTTGAATAAAGACCTGCCACCCACAAAGGTTTCATTCATACTTCTCAGTATTAGAAATAAAATTCGTGCTCCTGTTCCACTTCAAAATCTGTTTCTATCTTACTATGCAATTAAAGGCAACTCTCTTCTCTTACTGGGGACTCAGTTTCCCCATTTGGGCCAACTAGGAAGGCTTTCAGCAATTATAACTCCTACGATAAAAGTAAATATGACTTATGTTAACCTCACCTTTTTTAGTCCTTCACTTTTCTTCAAATAGTGCAATTCAAGCCTTCATGAGTGATCCTGGCAATTTTTGAACAAATGTCATCATTGAAGTGCAGGCTAATTGTCCACAACGTGCTCCTCTAATAATGAAAACACTACCAACAACAGAGTGCAATGTCATTGCAATGTTAAATCATTCACTTGAAAAATGACTGCGTTTTGAGGCCTGCAGAAGATAATTCAATGAATCTGAATTTGCAGTGATATAGAAATAACTTTTCATTATTTCTTATTAGCTTATTTTTTTGTTTTCATTCATATAAAAATTAGGAGAGATAGATCTTCAATGACTCCCCATTGTTTATGGAAAAAAGCATGGGCTTCTTATCCTGGTATCAAGAAATGCCGAAATTTGTTTGATAGTTTTAATAATTACCTTGATGAATCACACTGGCACACAAGCTTTGGCCCCGGGGTGATAATCAGATATGGTTCCTAATTACTGAGAGCTAAGATCAGGAATTTTAAACTATTTAGAATTTTTGCAGTGTGCCTGAGGTAAATAGTATTTATACTCTTTTTACAGATTAGAAAACAGACTCATAGAATAAGAACAATATAAACAAGGTCATAGGAAGTGCCTGAGCTAGAATTCAGACTTTGCTGTGTCTGACTTCAAAACCTATATTCCTTTCACTCAGGCAAAGGCATTTGACTCCAAAATTACATCATTTAAATACAAATCAGAGTCCGTACCTCATTAGCATGGGGGCATATTTCAGTCTCTCGAATCCAGAATATGTTGGCAGACACTCACATCTTAGTTCACATGTACAAATTGGCTCCATAGCAATCATATCTCCAGAAGCTGTACAAGAAAGAATCTTCTTGTAGATTTAAAAGCTCAGCTTGCTGTCATCATACTCTCTTCTTCCTAGTTGACTGGTGTTAATTTTGCCTACAGTAAAGAAAGATGTAGTGGGGTCACATGTGAAAACCCTCATTACTACTCTAACAATTTACTGCCATCCCATATATATTGGTGAATCAACACAGGATACACTAGATAAATGTATATTATTTAGGAATTTAGCCATGCAACCATAGGCCCTGAAGAAATGGGATAAACCCATTTAAGAAGCAGGATAACTTGACTGAACTGGAGGACGTATCCAGTGGCCTTATGGGCCCCTATCCTTCAGGTACCATTCTTGTATTTTATATAAGGATATTGCTGCTCTAAGTTCATTTATGATGAAAGCCCAACTCTCTATCTCCGCAGTCCAGTTTATCAAAGTGAATTCAATGATAGCAGAGCTGACTTCTCTCTGCAACAGAATGAGAGGAAAGGCCTTGAATTACTCTTAAGTGAAAGTTTTAGACCTGGAATATGTATATTTTTAAAAAATCCATGTGCAAGTTTTATAACATTTTAAAAAATACTTTCAGTTTTTACGTGAATCGTGGCATATATGTATTCAGAACCTTTAAGGGAAAGGGTCCACTGCTTTCATCAGATACTCAATGGAATCTTTGGACTCCTCCCTCCAAAATGAAAACCACTGTCTTAAAATTAATGTAGAGCCAACACTTCCTTGACTTCCTGACTTTTATTCTTCTCTTATCAACTCCAATGAATGATAGGCAGCGTGGTGGCCAAATAACTATATGGCTATCCATATGGGTGGAGGGAGGTATTAGTGGAGTCCTAGTAAGAAATATGCAGTTCAAAATAGCTTCTCTGGTTAAGAAATCACATAGAAATGTGTAAACAAGGAACCGATAAAGTGTTTTGAGTATACACCTTAGGCGCCTAGTGAGTTTTGCAGGACACCAGATGAAGAATTAATAAATCTTGATTTTGTCAGGATACTCTCACAAATAGTGGACTATCAGTAGGGAAAGAAATTTCCCCAAGAGGAATAAACCCTCTGAAGATTTAACTCTCTTTCCTGTAGCACTGTAATCTCATCCAAATGTTTGAAGACCCCTCCTCTATAGCATGCTGGGCATTTTTCTAAACATAGCAAAATAGACTTTACTATTTGCAGAACGTTAGACCCTAAAGAGAAGAGGAAAAATAAAGATGTTTTCATCGTGTAGTTTTCCTTTGTCTTAGCAGTAATATTTGTAAAGCATATTCATGTGATAAATGGATACAGTGAGTGAATGAGGATGCATGACTTCCTGTAATTATATAAATGTACCAAGAGAATAAAGTTAACTCCAGTCTAATCTTTAATACTAGTGTGTATGCTCAAACTCATATCACAAAGTTCTTAGCAGTCTTATGTCTTATTGTGCTATTACTAGTTTACATTTCATTTTATACTATAATAAGCTTCATTCAAATCCTAGTCTGTCAAATGGATCTTCGCATTTATAATTCTACTTACCATCTCATCTCTCTAGCTCAGAAGTTGGTTTTGTGCAGGACACTATACCGCTGTATTCTCATAGATGACACCCAGAATGGCCCAGAATGTGAAATGCTCAATTCAAATTCATTAGCTTGCTTTTATCTATCTATGTGCTTACACATATAATTTATAAAATACACTTAGTTTAATAACATCTATAGTAAATTCACTCGTGACAATTTTACTGACCTCCCTGACCCCATATGAAAGAAAACAGGATTTCCCTAAAAAATCCTTCTTATAAATCAGACCACACCAAAAAGGTCAAAGCAAATAAACAGGTGGAAAACAGTTCTCAAATATTTGTAATAATTTTTTTTCTGATTATAAAGTACTTGTATGATCACTGCACATAATTTTTAAAATATAGATATTTATACACACAGACATGCACACACACACACACACACACCATACATGTGCATATGTCTACATGAGTAAAGTAATCCGTATCACTATAATGGTTGTATTAGTCCATTTTCACATCATTATAAAGAACTTCCCTGAGACTGGGTACTTTATAAAGGAAAGAGGTTTAATTGACTCACAGTTCTGAATGGCTGGGGAGGCCTCAGGAAACTTACAATCATAGTGGAAGGCAAAGGGGAAACAAGGCAGCAGGAGAGAGAAGAGTGAGGGGTGAAGGGGGAAGAGTCACTTTTAAAACGATCAGATTTCATGAGACTTACTCACTATCACAAGAATATCATGGGGAAAACTGCCCCCATGATCCAATCGCCTCCCATCATGTCCCTCCCTTGGCACGTGGGGATTATGTTATATAAAGTCACTGGAAACAGTCAGTTAGCAAATACCAAGTCATTGCTCCTAGGGAAATTACAGAATTAGTATCCTGCAAGCATGTGGCCACAGTATTTCCATCCATTGATCAATACATAGCATCGTTTTATGTGTGTTTATGTTTAAAGATACCTTATTTAGTGCATATTTCTTCCAAATAACAAATTATATGCAGGAATTCTTTATAATGAAACAATAGTTGAGAAGAGTTTCAGCTATTCTTGACCCAGGTTAATATAACAATAAATTGCTGTGTACTATACATTTTTTAAAAATCAGACATCATCTCATAAATCCACAAATTTAGTCACTTTTTCAGTTTCATCACACATGGAAAATATTACTTAAACTGTTTTGGACATCTCCTATGGCAACACTCTCACTGACACACCCAGGGTCAATGGAAATGCAAAAGAAATGGAACTAAATAGACCACACACACACACACACACATGACACACTATTTTTGGTGTAACAGCTGAAACAAGCCAGTAGAGCATTGCATTGTTGGACCTCAACTGGAAACATATATATCAGGAAAATCAAAATTTTTCCCACTCTGCATTTGTCTGAAAATAAATGCTGAAGTATTGAAGTCATTAAAAATAAACTTTAGCTAGTATGTAAACTGTCAAACTCAGAGACTTCAAGTAATGAGAAACAGTTGTCCCTTTTAAAAACAACAAGTGAATGATAATAAAAAATGCAAGATGGTACTGTGGAGACAGGGAAGCATTTGGATGGCCTAGGGATAGAATATATAGATACTTTGAAGACATTTATAAGTATCCATGTCTTTAAAATTAATTTTTATTTAAGTAGCTTTTGGGGTACAAGTGGTTTTTTGTTTCATGGATGAATTCTATAGTGGTGAATTAGGAAAATTTTGTGCACCAATCACCCTAGTAGTGTACATTATACCTAATGTGTACTTTTTAAAAAATCCGTAGCCCCTCTCCCACTCTCCCACTTCTGAGTCTCTAAAGTCCATTATATCACTCTATATGCCTTTGCCTACTCATAGCTTAGCTCCTGCTTAAAAGTGAGAACATGTGTTTATTTTGTTTTCCATCCCTGTGTTACTTCGCTGAGAAGAGTGGCATACAGCTCCATCCAAGTTGCTGCAAACACATTATTTTGTTCCTTTTTATGGCTGAATAGCATTCCATGGTATACCATGGAATAGTATTTTCTTTGTCTACTCATTAGTCGGTGGGCATTTAGGTTGCTTCCACATCTTTGTAATTGAGAATTTTGCTGCTATAAACATAAATGCACAGGTGTCTTTTTCACATAATGACTTATTTTCCTTTGGGTAGGTACCAGGTAGTGGGATTGCTCAATCAAATGGTGTGGTGATTAATACCAAGTGTCAACTTGATTGGATTGAAGGATACAAGGTATTGATCCTGGGTGTGTCAATGAGAGTGTTGCCATAGGAGATTAACATTTGAGTCAGTGGGCTGGGAAAGGCAAACCCACCCTTAATCTGGGTGGGCACCATCTAATCAGCTACCAACATGGTTAGAATATAAAGCAGGCAGAAAAATGTGAAAAGAGAGACTGGCCTAGCCTCCCAGCTTACATCTTTCTCCCATGCTGGGTGCTTCCTGCCCTCGAACTTCCGACTCCAAGTTCTTCAGTTTTGGAACTTGGACTGGCTCTCCTTTTTTTAGCCTGCAGAGGGCTTATTGTGAGACATTGTGATCCTGTGAGTTAATACTTAATAAACTCCATTAGTTCTGTCCTTCCAGAGAGCCCTGAGTAATACAAATGGTAAATCTACTTTTCGCTCTTTAAGGGATCTACATACTGTTTTGCATAGAAGTTGTACAAATTTGCATTCAAACAAGCAGTGTATAAGCATTCCATTTTTCCCACATCCGAGCCAACATCTAGTGTTTTATGAATTTTTAATAGTGCCCATTCTTGTAGGAGTAAGGTGGTGTCTCCTTGTGGTTTCAATTTGCATTTTCCCAATGATTTGTAATGTTGAGCATTTTTTCATATGTTTGTTGGCCATTTGTATATCTCCTTTAGGGAAATGTCTATTCATGTCCCTTGCCCACTATTGGATAGGGTTATTTGTTTTTGTCTTGATGATTTGTTTGAGTTTCTTGTAGATTCTGGATTCTAGTCTTCTTTCAGATGTACAGTTTGTAAATATTTTCTCTCATTCTTTGGGAGTCTGTTGACTCTGCTGATTATTTCTTTTGCTGTGTAGAAACTTTTTAGTTTAATTAAGTCCCATTTATTTATTTTTGTTTTTGTTGCAGTTGCTTTTGGGGCCTTAGTCATGAATTATTTGCCTAGGCCAATGTTCCAAAGAGTTTATCCAAGGTTTTCTTCTAGAATGTTTATGATTTTTGATCTTAGATTTAAGTCTGATTAATCTAGTTGATTTTTGTATAACGTGAGAGATGAGGATCCACTTTCATTCTCCTACATGTGGCTTGCCAATTATCACAGCACCATTTGTTGAATAGGGTGTCCTTTCCCCACTTTATGTTTTTGCATGGTTTGTCAAATATCAGTTGGCTGTAAGTATTTGGCTTCATTTCAGGGTTCTCTATTCTGTTCCATTGGTCTATGTGCCTTTTTTAAAAACAAATACCATGCTATTTTGGTGACTATAGCCTTAGAGTATAGTTTGAAGTCAGGTAATGTGATGCCTCCAGATTTGTTCTTTTTGCTTAGTCTTGCCTTGGCAGACCAATAGCAAGTTAGTCAGCATGGTGCAGGAAGGGGTGATAGCTATCACACAGCCATTTTCTCCTTCCTGGGTGCAGTGTTATTCTACCAGGAGATGCTGTAATGGACTGTATTGGTTGGCCTCCAGCCAGAAAGTAGCACTTGCAAAGGAGCACCAGCTGTGGTAGTAGCAGTGGGATTTTTACTTGTCTTCTGTTGCCCAGGGATGATACTCTGGTTTCTCAGGCATCGGGTGGGACCGTGTAGCTCCCAAGAGATTCTGTCCTTTTCGTTAAGCCACCAGGGTGAGTGAAGGGGCAAAGCCAGGTAGGGGCTGGGTCAGGCAGGTTTGCACTCTTGGCTTCATGTGCAGGACAAGTAGCAGCCTCTGTCAGCGTCGAGGGATGGGAATGTGCCTCAGACCACTGGTTATAGTCCACTGGGGAGCGTTGCTGTCTCTGCTGCACAGAAGTGTTTGTGCAGGGAGTGAGGAGTAGCAGGTGGTAAGCCCCACACCATTCCCAATGCCCTTGCTAAGGCAGATTCACTCCTACAGTGTTTCACTAACAGCAGCGAGTTGAATTCCAGCCAGCCTGTAATCAGAACTCGCAACTCCCTGGAGCCATAGGCTTTCCCCATGGAGACAGCAGCCTTGGTCTTCAGACCACTCCCCTCCCCACCCACTGCAAAGCCAAGCACTAGGCTATTGCACCTGTGGTTCCTGCACTCACGACACCTGCATTCACAGCCCACTTTTCACTCTCCCTTACCTTGGCCCTGGCTGAAGGAGTTCGTCCCCACCCATGGTTATATCAGGAAACCCCATCTGGGGGCGTCTTTCAACTTGTGACCACTGCCTGAAGATTTTGGCTGTCCTATGCTGGGTTACCTGTGAAGAGCAGTAAGGAATGGCTGCCCTGGGTTCGCACTGGAGTCTGGAAGTACATGCAAGGGTCTACCAACGCTGCTTCTACTTTTATATTCCACAACACTCCCCAAGTCACTTCCTGTGCTGGGTGGGGTTAGGGCCTTCCCCCATGGCCTGGACTTTCAGGGTCCCCAGTGGGAGTGTGTATCCTCAAGGCAAACTCTCCTCTCATACTCTGGGGACTCACAGCTCTTTACTCGACTCCTTCAAAGGGTCCATAGATTCCTTTCAGTTTTCCTGTACACACTATTTTGTCCTTCCAAGTGGGAGAGATATGCTAGCGATGCCTCTAATCTACCATCTTGAGAGAAAAAGGGTTCTAGCTTTTGAGTTGAGAGGAGGATTCACAGATGTTCATTATATTGTTGTTCAATATCATATCATATATCATATTGTATCATTTGTGTCATATCGTGTCATATTATAATACATTATCCTATGTTATTAAAATAATATGGCAGAATGAAATATAACAAAGATCAACAGATTTGCCTACCTAAAATTTTAAAACTTTTTTATGTCAAAAGCTGGGAGAAAATACTAACCCTGCATTATATGTGGAAAGGACGATGTTTCTAGAATACAAAGAAAATCCAACAAATGGAAAAAATGAAAAAAAGTAGAGAACAATTTCAAATATGTGAATGATTAATTCATAAGAGACAAACTGGTTAATAAATATAACTATTCTATACAAAAATCAAGGGATCGTTGTCAATTTCGTTTTTGCTGAGTTAATAAATATTTCTGGAATGAATGAAGAAGTAAATGAAAAGATGCTTAGAGTCACTAGCAGGCAGGACCATACAAATTAAATAGTGAAATACAATTGTCCGTAGCCATACTGCATAGGTGTAAATATCGGTGACACCCATTGTGGTTTCAAGATATGGATAATGGATTTTCATGGGAATCTAAAATTATTGATGCTATTATAAAAAATCAGTAGAGAAAGTAAAGTTTATTCAGTAATTGATATTAAGAACATTGTCAATTTAGGATACATTAAATTTACATTGTCATAGCACATCAATATAAATTCTTATATAGCATTCTGACATAAGAATTTAATAAATAGAAAAAAGATAAAGAAATGGTTTTCAAATCTATGGAGTATTTTCACATATTAATGTGACAGGCAAAAATCGCTAAAAATTAAAAGGTATAGCTTTAACGAATTAAAATAATTAAAAAGTAAAAGCAAACAATAAGAAAACTATTTGTACCATATATAAATATATAATAATATTCAGTCTCCGTTAGGAATAAATTAACAGAAAGGAACAATAACTGGTTAACAAACCAATGGGAAAAATCACATCATTACTAATCAAAAAATACAAACGAAAGTAACAGTTGAATAGCAATTTTAACTTTCAAAGTTCTAATAATTACTACCAATAATGGCAGTAAAAGCTGGTGACAGAACATGGGTAGTAGAGTGTAAATTTTTATAGACCTTTCAGAAAATAACTTGATACTACATTATTGTTAAAAATGTCCATATTTGCTGGAATAGCTGTGGAGAGTCAAGAAATCACTTGCAGCTCAGCTGGAGGAATGCAATTAGCTGACACTCACTAGATACAGTACCTTCATTATTTGTTGCAACATTTCCTCCAAAGCCATGCTCTTCCCTGGCAGCTGACTGAGCATGGTAGGGCTACCAAAGCTTAGGCATTTCTGCAGAACATGGGACACTTAATGTACAATAACCAGAGCTCCTTTCTTTTGGGCTAGTGAAGACTTTCTCCAAGCTTCATGACAGTTTGAGAATCTTTCATAATAATTACTTTTCTTTTCCTCTCTTTCACAAGTGTCTTATGTACATTGTGATCTGGATCTCTCCCTGCCTACTTCTGTGCCCTCTATGATTTCACAAGTATTTTTCTCAATAAATCTCTTGCATTTCTAACTCCTTCTTGGCATACGCTTTCCACAAGACCTGAAGTTGCAAATCCATTCGTTTTAATTCTATGTATTTATACTAAGAAAGTATTCCCAAATATGGAACAAAACTTTAAACGTAAATATCTTCATTACAGAAATATTATATTCAAGAATATGAGGAAAAAATCCAAGTTTTTAACAACTGGAAAATAGCTAAGATAAATTTCAGAATATTTTGTAGCTATTAAATTAATTCATATAGAATATTTAAAACTATAAGGAATGCATGTTATGTGAAAAATACAGTAAATAAAATTACACACATGCTATTACCACAATTGTCTGAACAATTAAAAAAATATAATTAAAGCAAAATTACGTTGAAAACAGCTAGACACAATATAAGTTATGGCATTTCAGCAGCTCTTAATAGCAATTAACAAAATGTTAATACATTTTAGGTATTTATTGATAAATTCTATTTTAAATATAGTCAACAATAATATCTTTCTATAGCCAACACTAAGAAGTCCAGTGTCTGAATTTAGGAGAGATGAATATGCTATTGTTCCTGTGAATAAATATCACATATAGATGTTAAAAATCTATCTCTGAACCACTTTTGCTACTTCTATTCAACATAGTACTAGAAGTCCCAGCCACAGCAATTAAACAAAAATGGCACCAAAATAGAAAAGAAAGAAGTTAAATTGTCTCTGTTGCAGATATCATAATCTTATGTGTAGAAAACCCTAAAGACTCTACCTAAAACTGTTAGAACTAGGAAATTAATTCACTAAAGTTTCAGGATACAAAATCACAATACAAAAGTAAGTTGTGTTTTTATACACGAACAATGAACTATGAAAACTGTTAAAAATATAATTCCATTTACAATAGCATGAAAATAATAGAATAATTAGGAATAAATTTGATCAATGGTGTGAAAGATCTGTACACTGAAAACTGTACAACATTAGTGAAAGAAATTGAAGATGATACAAATAAATGGAAAGACACCCCATGTTCATAGGTTGGAAGACTTAATATTATTAAAATATCCACACAACTCAAAGAGATCTACAGATTCAGTGCAATCCCTACCAAAATTCCAGTGGTATTTTCCATAGAAATAGAAAAAAAATCCCAAAATTCATATGCAACCACAAGGGACCCCAAATAGCTAAAGCAATCTTTAGAAAGGAAAACTAAAATGGAGGCATCACATGTCCTTATTTCAAACTATATTACAAAGCCATAATAATCAAAACAGTGTGGCACTGGTATAAAAACTAACACATAGATCAATGGAACACAATATAACCCCCATAAATAAATCCATACATATATAGTCAACCAATCTTTGATAGGAGTGCCAAGAATACACAATGGAGAAAGGATGGTTTTTTCAATAAACTGTATTAGAAAATGAGACCTACCCGTGGAGAAGAATTAAATCAGACCCTCCTCCTAAACCATATAAAAAATTAACTCAAATTTGATTAAAGACCTAAATGTAAGATCTGAAACCTTAAAACTCCTAGAAGAAAACATAGGGATAAAGCTCCTTGAACACTGGTCTTGACAATAAATTTTTGGAAGATACCAAAAGCATAGGAAACCAAAGCAAAAATAAACAAGTAGGGCTACATTAAACTAAAATGATTCTGCACAGAAAAGGAAAAAAATCAACGTAATGAAAAGGCAGCCCAAGAAATGAGGGAACATATTTGACTTCTCTACTTTATCTACCCCTGACCTGCTCCTCAAACAGCCACCACTCCTTTCTATGACATGTGCTTTTATCCAGGATAAATAAAAGAAATGGCTTTAAAAATATTATATCTGCATATTACACAGTAAAAATTATCCATAACCCTACACATTATTATCTCTCCCTTTTCTTTCTATAGCCTCCAAACTTTCATCTGATATTTATCCTAAGACATGTGTTCTGTATGTGTATTATTAAAATGGAATATTTTCTCTCTGTTCCTCTTTGGAAGTAGCTAGATTTAAATGATGAGACAAAACAAACACTTTAGAGCTATTTAAAATACTTAATGCATATCACCTAGCTCTACAAATTCCTGGTGAACTCATATCACAGAGAGATTAAACTCACCCAGTGCATGATCATTTTCCTTTGAGGAATTCCCCCTTTGATTTCAAGCTATTATTATCTCTTATGGTTTGCTATCTGAATGAAAAGAAAGTATTTCCACACCAAGGGGTTCACTGCACTTTCAATAATTGCACACTCAAACCCCTAAATCAAGAAGTTTTAAATTCTGACCTTTGTGGGCATGTATATTGATTGGATTTATAAGTTGTCCTTGAATAGCTCACAATCTGAAAGCTATTTGTCTATGTGCCTAATTTTAAACCAGACTCATTGTATTAGTCTGTTCTCAGGCTGCTAATAGAGACATAACTGAGACTGGGCAATTTATAAAGGAAAGAGGTTTAATGGACTCACAGTTCCACATGGCTAGGGAGGCCTCACAATTATGGTGGAAGGCAAAAGAGAGGCAAAGGAATGTCTTACATAGTGGCAGGCAAGAGAGCTCCCCTTTATAAAACCATCAGAGCTCATGAGACTGTTTTTCACTATCATGAAAACAGTATGGGGAAAACAGCCCATATGATTGAATTATCTCCACTTGGCCCCACCCTTGACAGGTGGAGATTATTACAATTCAAAGTGAGATTCTCATGGGTGGGGACACAACCAAACCATATCACTCACTATAAGAACAAAGAAAATTTCCATTAAATCTGAAGACTTTCCAGTTATACTGCACTATTTTTTTCAGGTTTCCTGTTCCTGAAAAAGTGGCCATGTAGAACAATTTAAGAGAATGTATGAATGCTTTTTGGCTAGCAGTTCCATTTTTCTCTCTCTGCATGATATAGGAAAGGGGGGCAAATATGCTGGAGCTTGACAAATTTCTTGGAACCTGATAGTAAAACCTCTGTATCAACATGTCAAAAGGCAGAATAAACTTTTATGTTATACCAAATCCCCACTACTAAGAGATTAATTTGATTCTGAAAGTCAACAAAGCACAATATCTGACTTCTTTTCTTGTTTGTATAGAATGTTCATTTTTACATTAACTAGGCAATTCAACAGGGCCACTTTTCAATATTTTCAATAACTTTAATACAGAGCTCTAAATTTTAACAATTTCTACCTTAGGAGGGTCAATTTATTTGTACAAATATTGGTCCACTAACAGTATAAATGGAAAAATATGCAAATCATACTGTAGTTAGTCTAATAAGTAATTTGATTCTCAAAAACTATAAAGTTATTAAAATTTTCTTTGTGATAAGAATCTGTTTCTCTATTTCCATTGGCTGAAACACAATAAAACACTGAATTAAATCAATGATTCTCCATGATTTTCCATTTACCATAATTTTTTCAGTGATGACAGCCTAGTAAAAGATCTCTCTAGGCTTGCACTCCCTACCACCTCCCTACTATCCATCCATAATAAGGCTATTTTGAATAAGCCAAGTTTGTTTTATTATATGACTTTTATTTGAGACAGGCTCTGTCATCCAGGCTGGAGTACAGTCATACAATCATGGCTCACCACAGCCTCCACCTCCCGGGCTCAAGTGATTTTCCTATCTTAGCCTCCCAAGTAGCTGGGACTATAGGTACATGCCACCATACCAGGCTTTTAAAAAATTATTTTATTTTTGTAGAGATGGTGTCTGACTGTGTTGACCAGGTTGGTTTTTAATTCCTGGGCTCAAGGAATCCTTCCCACCTCAACCTCCCCAAGTGTTGAGATTGCAGACATGAGCCACTGCACCAAGCATGACTGTTTTTAATTGATGAGCTGAGAACACACACATTTTCTGTTTTGTATTACTTTGAGGAATACTTCACTAGAGGCATAAGTGAATGACGATATGGGTAAGAAGGAACAATAGCATTATCAGGCATAATAGCTGGTTGAATGTATGTCGTTTTTGCTGGCTTAAGGTAATCTATATGGTAAAATAAAATAAAGAATCACTTCAACTTTACATTTAAAACTTTTTCTACTTTATTTTTACCTACAAAACATGCCAAAACATGCTTGGATTAGTGTCTTTCTATACTCTTACAGACCAGTCAATATTCTAGGCACTAACTAGGGAGTTAGTTATAAATAAAATATATAAGAATTGTACTTGTGAATCTTAAATTGCAATGGAAGATGTAGAAAGTGAAAGATAAAAATTAGTAAGTATATATAGTATAATACACAATAAGTGATCAGAAAAAAGTGGAAAAATGGGATATGAATGAGTAGTTGCATTTTAGTTAGGTTGGCCATGAACAGCCTTTCTGAAAAACTGAAATTTGAGTAAAGACTTGAAAGAAGTGAGGTATGGAGTCTTGTATACATTTAAGGGAGGAACATTTCATGCAAAGGAAACAGTGCACAAAAATTGAGGCAAAATTACAGTAATTTCCAGGAATAACAAGCGGGCAGTATGTCTGTGGCAAGGTGAATGAGAGGTAGAGTAGCAGTTAAAGTCAGTAAGAAAATGAGGGAGCAGTAAGTTAAGTTGGGCCTTCATGGACAATGTATGGATTTGTATTATATTCTGAGTAAGAGCAGAAGCTATTACAAAATTTTGAGCAGGGTAATGATGCAGGTTGTTATATTGATAATAGACTGAAAGAGACTATTGAAAAAGTTTCTGAAATGAGTTAGGAGACTATTGTGATAATCTAGGTGAGAAGAGATGACTTTTTTGGAATCAAGCCGTAAGAATAGAGGTGGTGAAAAGTGGTAGGATTACCTGATGACTACACTTCACTTGGGATGTGATCAACCCTCTGTAAGGAACTGAGATTACCTAGTAAGTTTCGTTTGAAGAACTCTAGTAATGTTTACTAAATGTGACTCTAGTTGGAGAGTATAGCTATTTGTATACTATTTATTAAGGAATATTCCTTCATCATGTGGGAAAGCTGTCCTCTTTGATAACATGGCTTCAAAAGGGATGCGCATAAAATAGTGCTCACTAGGGTAACATGAGTAAACCAGTTCCCTGCCCAGGATTTGACCAATGCTTTGTGATGAACCAATATATGGCACTAAAATATAACAATAGTAATAATAATAATAATAATAATAATGCACCATAAATCTGGTTAATTGTAGAAGCAGAAACTTTCTATAAGTACCGAATACCTACTGGATGTTAAGTATCTTATGTCTTACAAATAGTTATATTTGATCGGTACATCAGTAAATACAATACCAGTATTGCATTTATAATGGGACTTTTAACTTTCATAATCGTTTTCACTGTCTATTGTTTTCCTTTTCAGTTGGCTACACACAACAGTTTAGAATTCATGCCAATTAGTCATGGTCCATATGGATGCCTTTATGTGCCATGTTTGTGAGCAAGTAGGGATCATGCATGATATACCTCAGTGTCACTGCAAGTCATGTAATGCTAAATATTATCTGCCATGAAGGCAATGGTTTCTTCTTGGTCGGGAAATGTTTGGATGGATTCTTTATTCTTTTCTAATTCAAAGTGCTACAGAGTAGACTACTGACACAAAATAGACTTAGTATGAAAATATGGGCTAGAGGAAGCAATAATCTATATGTTTTGAGTGTTATTTTTCATTAGGATCAAAAACACAAGTGATTTTTGGCCTGAAGGTAAATCACAGATGGACAGGGCTCAGATGGCACATGAAGATACAGAAGTGAATAAGATTCCCTAGTGAGAACTGAGAGTACATCTTGGCAAAAGATAATTTGTCTCCTATATAGTGGGGTCATTACACATAACCTTTGCCCATTCCTCCATCTGGTTTCTATGTCAAATAGCGTTAATTCAGATCTTAGTGGTCTGATTCTCAACCAATTCAAACACAGCAATTATCCCAAACATATACTAAAATGTGCATGTCCACAGTTCCATGTATACATAATTATTTGAGAGTGAATAGGTGGGATAATGCTGACTTCAGTGAAAAGAATAAATAAGTTATTGAAAAAGTCAAATCATCATAATAACAGTATTCCAAGTACAAGGATAAAAATAAATCTCACTCTTTAGAAGCCTTTACTAATATCCCTGTTTTTTTATCTTGAACATTAAACTCTTGTTATTGAAAGAATCACCAGCCTTAGGGGAAAATGCCTGGATAAGAAAGTAAAATTAGACGTGATTGAGTGCTAAGAAAAATACTGGCTGATGAATCACTTCTTAAATAAAGAATAGTTTACTTTCCTCAAAAAAGAAAGAAAAAAGCAACTAGAGCTTAATAGTGGCATAGTTTCTGTACTTTAGATTGTCTGATATTTGATATATAATACAAGTAATAATATCAAGGTAATGTTACCATTATTCCTCCTGGATTATTTAAAAATGGAAAGTGATTAACACAAAGCAATGTATTTGGTTGAATTGTTTTCAGTCTCTGCTTATCTTTGTGTTTTATTGTTGGATCAGTTTCAAATTAGGCACAGATCCACTGAACTCTCCTTGGACATAGGCTTCTTTCAAAGAGAAAAGTACCTAATTTATAGTTAGCTTTATAAGCTGATCAACCTGAAGGGGGGAAATCAGCGCAACAAGACTTCATATGTTCTAATTTGTCATTTTTAAATTCTGGACACAGTCTAATAATTGCAAACTATTATTAAGGTGATAATTAACTGACTATAAAGGATGCTTTTTCAGAAGCATCTCAGTGACCTGAGTAATTTATATTTACCCTCCTAAAACTAAGAGGCTAAGTATATGCTAGAGAAAATTGGCCTAGAGAATGCATTATTTCACAATATGCTGTGATTATACATGGGCTGACAGTCATCAGCATTTGTTGAGTTATTTTATGTAAAGCCTAATGCTACGTACTATGGGGAGATAGATGAATTAGAAAATGTACTTCATCTTCTTCAAATATTCGGTCTTGTGGAGGTTTATAATTTATATTCATGGAAAAAAATGACTTTGGGATTAGTATAAAGATAGATAATCATGATAGGTAGGGTCCACAGTGAGAAGGGAAACGTTGATACATAGAGTAGGGAATAATTAGGGGTGACTCGGCTTTTATGAAAGGCTTTGGTAACTGTTTGAAACTAAATGCTAAGTGGAGGATAGTATAGACTCATCAATACTTTTGAGCTAATAGAAAGGAACAGCAGAAAGCTATCCTGGCAATCATTGAAATGAAAATATGCTCACTGATGACATGGTCCACCTCATATTTAATAGGAACAGCTTGTGGAAGGTCAGAAGGAAAAAAGGATGATGGCAAATAACAGAGGGATGTAACCAGCTAGAGATCTTTATCAAAGAAACTCCACTTGGCTTTCTGTAAAAACCAAATGGTAAGAAGCTGCATAAAGGAAAGAAAGACAATTTTTTCTATAAAAATATTCCTTTAAAAAATAACAACTTTACCAAGTAAGTAATCTAACATTAGCCTAAAAGCATTGAATTTTGTCATACAACAGTATATTCTTAACAGCAGTTTTACTGAGAAATATGCTGATTTTGTGCTAACTGAATGCAAATAATCACAAGCATAGTGTTCTTCTAGAGTTGGTACTACATTAAATAAATGCATTTGGTCAGTCATTTTTCCTTGTTAGCATCATACTCCTGAATGTAGACAATTGACAATGAACGTAATTACAAACTATTCAAATAGACTAGCTCTATGGAACTATTTTTAAGCATTCATATTTCAACAATAGTGCAGAAGGGAACTATGATACAAATATTTTGTATTCTGACTATATCTGCATATTTGTGTCAGTTGCTTGATTCAAACCAATTAGACTACAGTTATCTAAAAAACCATATGGTGAACAAATAAAACGTACAGGACCAGTTAAACATCAAAAGCATATCATTTGCATAGTTAGAAACAACACTGACAGAAAAAATATTTATTATTCAAGGAATATCCAACCTAATAGAAGCAGTATCATTATATTTTAAATCTATATGTATTGAAACAAATGATTATTGTTCAAACATTTGTCAATGTTGTACTAACTTGGGGCATAGTATATAGAAAATGAGTGATGTTGCTGGGCACAGTGGCTCACGCCTGTAATCCAGGCACTTTGGGAGGCCAAGGCGGGCAGATCATGAGGTCATGAGTTTGAGACCAGCCTGGCCAGCGTGGTGAAACCCCGTCTCTACTAAAAGTAAAAAATTAGCCGGACATGGTGTTGCACGTCTGTAATCCCAGCTACTCAGGAGGCTGAGGTAGGAGAATCCTTAACCCTGGGAGGCGGAGCTTGCAGTGAGCTGAGATTGCGCCACCGCACTCCAGCTGGGCAACAGAGTGAGACTCTGTCTCAAAAAAAAAGAAAAAAAAGAAAAAAAAGAAAATGGATGATATGTGGAGCATGGTTCAAACAACTGAATAAGAAAATCAATAACAGAATGACTTTGTAAGATTTTTTTGGAATTTCTAACTTAGACATTTTTAGTAAGACTATTCTTACCAACACATAAGGACATAATTATCACTAACTCACTTAATTATTATCATAATATTTTACTTTAAAATTTTTGACCTAAAATAAATATATAAACACTTTACAACTTTCTTTACTTTAGGGGAACAGAATATTTTTTAACTACATAACTATTAAATTTAGGTCATCTAGACCATACCCCCACATTCAGGCACATAGATAACATGGTACACAGAATAATGGCCTCCCAAAGATGTCCATGTCCTAATCCCCATAACTTTTGAATATGTATGCTTATGTGGTAAAAACGACATTGCAGATGTGTTTAATGTTAACAATCTTGAGATAAGGAGAGTGTCTTGGATTATCCAGATGGGCCACATGTAATCACAATAATCCTTATAAGGTGAAGGCAGGAGGCTCAGAGTCAGAGTAGGAGATAGGGTGATAGAAGCAGAGACATGTGTATATGTGAGAGAAAGAGAGAGGAGAAAGGGAGAGAGGAGAAAGAAGAAAAGAAACAGGAAAAAGGGAAAGAGTGAGAGAGAATAATTTGAAGATGCTATTGGCTTTGAATACAGAGGAAGGGGCCATGGGCCAAGGAATGTAGGTACTCTTTAGCATTTGGAAAAGGCAAAGAAATGGATTGTCCCCTAGACCCTAAGAAAGAACACAGCCCTGCTGATCCGTTTGAGATTTCTGACCTCCTTAAGTATAAGATAATAAATTTGTGTTATTTCAAGCCACTAAGTTTGCATCAATATGAACTAATACAGAGACCCTACCAGCGAAAGTGCTATGTTTTCACTTAAAACTTTTGTTGCGTCTTGAAGTTCTGCCCTTTTAATAGACATATCATCAGGGAGAGACTTGGTCATTTAAACAGCACTTTTACCTTGGGGCTTCCAATACATCTATATGTCTTCTTGTCCTACTGAGATCGTCACTCATCATACTTTTCAAATTATTCTTCTCAGACTGTAATGTATGCAAAAAGATACTGGAAACAAATATCATGCAAGCCATTCCAAATATTTAAAAATTTTGTTTGGCTTATGCCAGGTCATTTTATATGGACCTGGTTTAAGTCATGTTTGTCAAAATATATGTGTATGATAAGATTTGTAAATTTGAATGTCATCTAGCTTTGAGCAGTATTATATTTGGAGTTATTTAAATTATGTTCCCCTCAATAACCAGTGATAAACATTCAATCAGTACTCAACATATTCCACAGCCTTAGTGGAATGCAATAAATATCAGTTGCAAATAATCAATAAAATTACCCTAGAAATACAAACTGAATAATTTAAAAATTAAGTCACAACCTCTTCACATTTAGTTCATTATCAAAATGTGGGTAAAATTTAAATATCACATAAAGTATTTAGCACACATCATTTTATCATTAACTATAGCACCATATTCATTTACAATAATTTATTCCATCTTCCTAAATCCATATACATTTTAATCTTTCAATGTACTACTTGTATAAATGGCAGACTGCCTTTCTTGCTGGATTCAGGTTTGGGAATTGAGTTCTTTTCTTGTAATAATGATTAGGGTATAAGTTAGTCAAATATTATTATGGAACCTCTGTGCCTCAAAAAGAATTGAGTCAGTATGTTTCCTCATTACTAAGAGTGGTGAAGCAGAGGCTGGATACCAATGAGCCAGCCATTTGAGAGACTTCTGAATTGGAAGGAAGATTGAATTAAAGATGGCATCTATGATCCCTTCCACCTTGAAGAGTCTATGATTCTACTCTAGAACTTAAGGCTGGCCATTCAAATGGACCATAGCATAGTCAGCTTCGCTGATTCAGCTCTTTTCACTAGTCACCGTGGCTGAACTATTTTGTCACCATCTTATCAGTATGTTCTTGTAGACAGCCTTGCAGGAAAAGTATTCTCATCATTCATGTATTACTCTGTTCTCACACAGCTAATAGAGGCATACCTGAGACTGGATAATTTATTAAGGAAAGAGGTTTAATGGACTCACAGTTCCACATGGCTGGGGAGGCTTCTCAATCATGGTGGAAGGCCAATAAGGAGCAAAGTCATGTCTTATGTGGAGGCAGGCAAGAGAGCCTCTGCAGGGGATCTCCCATCTATAAAACCAAGAGATCTTGTGAGACTTATTCACTACTATGAGAACAGTATGGGGTAAACTGCTCCCATGATTCAATTATCTCCACCTGGCCCCACCCTTGACACATGGGGATTATTACAATTCAGGGTGATATTTGGATGGAGACACAGCCAAACCATATCATTCCACCCCTGCCCCTCCCAAATCTCATGTCCTCACATATCAAAACCAATCATGCATTCCCAACAGTACCCCAAAGTCTTAACTCATTTCAGCATTGACTCATAAGTCCACAGTCCAGGGTCTTATCTGAGAAAAGGCAAGTCCCTTGTGACTATCAGCCTGTAAAATCAAAAGCAAGTTACTTACTTCCTAGATTCAATGAGATACAGGCATTAGGTAAATACGCCTGTTCCAAATGGGAAAAATTGGCCAGAACAAAGGGGCTACAGGTCCCCTGCAAGTCTGAGATCCAGCGGGGCAGTCAAATCTTAAAGCTTCAGAATGATCTCCTTTGACTCCATGTCTCACATCCAGGTCACGCTGATGCAAGTGGTGGGTTCACGTGATCTTCGGCAGCTTCACCCCTGTGGCTTTTCAAAGTACAGCCTCCATCTCAGCCACTTTCACAGGCTGGTGTTGACTGTCTGTGGCTTTTCAAGGTGCATGGCGCAAGCTGTCAGTGGATCTACCATTCTGGGGTGTGTGGAGGATGATGGCCATCTTCTCACAGCTCCACTAGGTAGTGCCCCAGTGGGGACTGTGTGTGGAGGCTTCAACCCCACATTTCCCTTCCACACTGCCCTAGCAGAGGTTCTCCATGAGGGCATTGTCCCTGCAGCAAACTTCTGTCTGGACATCCAGGTGTTTCCTTACATTCTTTGAAATCTAGGCAGAGGTTCCCACACCTCAATTCTTGACTTCTGTGCACCCACAGGCTCAACACAACGTGGAAGCTGCCAAGGCTTGGGGCTTGCACCCTCTGATGCAATAGCCTGAGCTGTACCTTGGCCCCTTTTAGCCATAGCTGGAGCAGCTTGAATGCAGGGCACCAAGGCCAGAGGCTGCAGACAGCAGGGTGGCCCTGGACCTGGCCCACAAAACCATTTATCTCTCCTAGGCCTCTGGGGCTGTGATGGGAGGGACTGCCATGAAGGTCTGAGACATGCCCTGGAGACATTTTTCCCATTTTCTTGGTGAGTAACATTTGGGTCCTCGTTACTTATGCAAATCTCTGTAGCCAGCTTGAATTTATCCCCAGAAAATGGGTTTTTCTTTTATATCACATAATTTTTCAAACTTCTATGCTCTCCTTCCTCTTGAACACTTTGGCAGTTAGAAATTTCTTCTACCAGATACCCCAAATCTCCTCAAGTTCAAAGTTCTACATATCTCTAGGTCAGGGGCAAAAAGCCATCAGTCTCTTTGCTAAAGCACAACAAGATTCACCTTTGCTCCAGTTTCCAACTGGTTTCTCATCTCCATGTGAGACCATGTCAGCCTGGACCTTATTATCCATATCAGCTTTTTGGTCTAATCCATATTCAGCAAATCCCTAGGAAGTTCCAAATGTTCCCACATCTTCCTGTCTTCATAGCCCTCGAAGTCTCTAGGAAATTCCAAACTTTCACACATTGTCCTATCTTCTCCTGAGCGCTCCAAACTGTTTCAACCTGTTTCAACCTGGGTAACTGCCTGTTACCCAGTTCCAAAGTCGCTTCCGCATATTTGGGTATCTTTACAGCAGTACCCCACTCTACCAGTACCCATTTACTGTATTAGTCTGTTCTCACACGGCTAATAAAATCATACCTGAGACTGGGTAATTTATTAAGGAAAGAGGTTTAATGGACTCACAGTTCCACATGGGTGGAGAGGCCTTATAGTCATGGAGGAAGGCAAATGAGGAGCAAAGTCGTATCTAACATGGCAGCAAACAAGAGAGCTTGTGCAAGGAAATTCCCATTTATACAACTGTCAGATCTCATATGACTTATTCACTACCATGAGAACAGTATGGGGGAAACCGCCCTCAAGACTGAATTATCTCCACCTGGCCCCACCATTGACATGTGGGGATTATTACAATTCAAGGTGAGATTTGGGTGGGGACACAGCCAAATGATATTAATTCATATAGTCAACTCTGAAGGAATTCCCTTCAATTAGCTCTTCAACTTTTATAAGATAGTTTTAGAATTATGAAATTAAATCAAGTGCCAACCACAGAATATTTTCCTGGGCAGAATGAAGAAAAAAAGTGATATCATTGTTTTACAGTGACAGCTTAAATTCAGCATTCCAGAAAGGGTTAGAATATGCATATTGGGCTGTGATTCCCCTCTGGAGTCTCTCTTTGCCCGTGAGTACCTTCCTCAGACAATATGTTATTTCATAGAAAATGCATCATTCCATAATTACTGAATAGGAGAAAGCTAATGGATATTTTCTTGGATCAAAATAATACAGTATGTTTTTTTGTTTTGCAACGGAAATTATTGGTATAAAATTATGCACAACAAAGTGGTATTCTGAATTCAAAGAAGAGATGAAATTACACAAACTATTCTTATTCGTGTTCAAGTCTAGAGAATAGTTTAGAAAAAGGCAATGACCAAAGGTTGTCTGTGTCTGAATCAAAAGCAGTTTCGATATGCCTTTGAACTTTTACAATCTTTATATAATTTATTTTTCTTCAGCACAGAGCTGTCAAACATCTTTGAATAATCAGTGTACCAAAGATCTAAGTATTTCTCAATTAATTACATTGATACAGCAAGAACCTGTCTGTTAAAACACTGTAATTTCCCTCCCCCTCAAAGTTTTTCATGCTTTTGTTCGTGAAAGGTTAAACTTCTCATTTAAAAGCAAGTCAAATTAAACTGAAAAAATAAACATAACTAAAACCTCTTTAGGATTATTTGAGCACTGACCCAGTAGTAATTGAAGTCCTTTCTAACTCCAACCACCTATGTGTGTGGAGAAGCTGCCATTTAAATGTTTGGTTTATTCTAATATGTTAGTTATTTGTAGTATATGATATGATATTATATCATCAATTATCAGGGCATACAATAAATCTGTTGTTTTATATAGTCAGTGTAGCATTATATAGCCTTTCATTACTCACACAAACTTACATGTGTAAGCCACATATTAATATTAAATTTACTTAGATTTTTTTTCCTTTTTTCTGAGATGGAGTCTTGCTCTGTCGCCCAGGCTGGAGTGCAGTGGTGCGATCTCGGCTCACTGCAAGCTCCGCCTTCTGGGTTCACACCATCCTACTGCCTCAGCCTCCTGAGTAGCTGGGACTACAGGCGCCCGCCACCACGCCTGGTTGATTTTTTGTATTTTTTAGTAGAGATGGGGTTTCACCGTGTTAGCCAGGATGTGCTTGATCTCCTGACCTTGTGATCCACCCGCCTCAGCCTCCCAAAGTGCTGGGATTACAGGCATGAGCCACCGTGCCCGGCCTCCTCTTTTTTTTTTAAGATAAGGTCTCACTCTATTACCCAGGCTGGAGTGCAGTGGCACAATCTCGGCTCACTGTGACCTCTGCCTCCCAAGTTCATGCAATTCTCCTGCCTCAGCCTCCTGAGTAGTTGGGGCTACAGGCACACACCACGATGTCTGGCTAATTATTGTACTTTTAGTAGAGACAGGATTTCTCCATGTTGACCAGGCTGGTCTCAAACTCTTCGCCTCAAGTGATCTGCCCGCCTTGGCCTCCCAAAGTGTTGGGACTACAGGCGTGAGCCACTGTGCCTGGCCTTAAATTTACTTAGTTTTTTTAATGAGGGCCTTTTCTTTGCAAATTTAGCTCCAAAAGACACTTTGAGATCAAAAAGGAGCAAGAGATCTATTAAGTTCTTAATTTAATAGCCATATTCATAGCAGGTTGAGGAAGATCTGAGGACCCCTATATTTTCTGTCACTATTGTGTAATAGGTAGATGTAGAAGCTAGTAGGGTTGGCCAAGTCTGATTGGAGAAAGTTATGGTTAGAGAAAAAGATTGATTTTCTAATCTTCTATGCAGCAGAATTCCTTCTCTCTTTGTGATGGAGAGAGAAAGAGAGAGAGAGAGGAATATATTCTTTGTATATGTATTCTTATGTAATCAGGTACAGGATTGGAAACTGAGGATCAAGGAGGTTAAGTGATTTATGCAAAATTCAAAAACTAGTAAGTAGCAGAACTAGACTTGAACCTATGACTTCCCAATTCAAAATCTTATGTTCCATTCAAAACAACATGCCATCTAGGGACAGTTTGATATTTTAGTAATTGAGTTTCTAAGTTACATACAGTAAACTTCACTTTTTGGTTTCTGAGTTTTGATCAATGCATAGAGCCCCTAACTACAACCACAATTTCATCACCCACCCTCCCCAAATTCCCTCATGCTGCACCTTTGGAAGAAAATCTTTTCTACATCTTAATAATGTCGAAGGAAAAAAAAGAAAGAAAGGGAGGAAAGGAGGGAGGGAGATTCTTCTCTACTTCTCAGTTGTCAAGGGGGCCTTTTCCTTGGTCCTTGAGCCACAAAGAGGAGCTGTCTATAGGAGTTTTCTGTCTGTGGATTTCTGCAACTTGGATCAAAGCTAGGGGATCAAGGAGAAAAGCAACACACACACAAACAAACAAACAAACAAGAAAAGCATCACAGTACTTGTCCTTCACATTTTAACTTCTCTCTTCAAACACCCTATTATTCTTTAATTTTCAAAGTCCTCAGATAGTTGCTTTTTATATGTAATCCGTATTTCTTATTAGTAATCAGAGGGAGAGAAAAGCTGTAGTTGGCTTTACTCCAACTTGACCGGCATGAAAAACCCAGTTTGAATTTAAGAAGGAGACATGAGTCCCTTGGTGGTATAAACTCCAAAGGGAAAATAGGATCTATGACTACTGAGACTAGAATAGCCCAAGATGCTCTTTCGGTAATACTTAAGAAGCCAAACACAAATTAAGCCCTCAGCAATAACAGGAATATATACCTGAAGAGATTAATCTTTATACTGCAACTGAATTTTAACAAATATTACAACATCAAGTTTACTTTTGCAATCTCTGGCCAGTAACAAAAGGTATTCTGGATTTGTCATTTGTTCTGAGGTAGGAAGATTAATAAATAAAAGACCAGGCATCTAGCATGTGTATGGAACATAGAATATCTTCGAGGTGCCTAAGAACCCTCATTTTATGTTATTGAACTAAAAAATGTGGGTCTACTCAATTATTTCTGCAGATTAATTTTATATCTGTGTCTCCATACAGAAACAGTTGTATTTAAAAGAAAACTGTGCTTTAGAGGATATGATTGCCCTCTAGTGGTTGTCACCCAAACTACAGACCAGAATTACCAAGGTATCCAGGAAGCCCTGAGGAAGAACTTGGCAAAATCACCTGTATACAGTAAACATCAAGGACCCCCTTCATACTCATTCTAAGGACACATAATTATATTAAATATTTGATCTTCTTTTTTCTAGATTGTTCATAACAAATTTTATTTCACACAATATATCAAAATATTGACATTTTCAACATGTAGTTTATAAATACCATTAATAAGGGATTTTACATTATTTTTCCTACTAAAACTTAAAAATCCAGTATTTATGTCAGAACACATCTTAACTGTGAGTAGCCACATACTGAGTGATTAATAGTTACATGTGGCTAGCTGATACCATATTGGACAGAATGGCTTTAGTCAGCTATAGTTATTAATTATTCAAAGTTTTCCTTGCATATAGTCATTACACCAAAATCTTTTAGTAGATTGTGAAAACCTTCCAGTTGGTTTTCTGTTATTTTAGGTTGGCAATATATAATGATAAATTATAACAATTTTCACTTCTATTTAAATATATAGCAATTTATTGTATTTTTCTCATCCATTGCATGTGATAGAACCTACGGAAAATATTTTTATTTTATTTTTTTCACTGTGGTAAGAACACGTAACATGAGATCTACCCTTTTACCAAATTTTTAAGTGTACAATACAGTATTGTTAAACTATAGGCACAGGGTTTTCTGAACAGATCTCTGAAACTTACTGAAACAGACACATTGAACAGTCAGGTGCTGGCAGCAACAATTTTACTCTGTTTCTATGAGTTTGACTATTTTAGATACCTCATTTAAGTGAAATCATGCAATACTTGTCCTTCTGAGACTGGCTTATTGCACATAGCGTAATGTCTTCAAGGTTCATCCGTATTCAGTCAATATGGGAGTATTTTGTTCTCCATAGAAAGTAAATAATGTTCAATAGTGTAATAACACATTTTGTTGATCCATTCACTCATTGATGAACATTTAGGTTACTTCCATATCTTCTTTATTAGGAATAATGCTTCAATGAGCACGGGAGTGTAGAAACCTCATTGACATACTGATTTCAAATCTTTTGAGTAGATATCCACAAGTAGTATTATAGTTATATTTTAAACTTTTAGAAATCAACCTTCATATTGCTTTCTATAGTGGCTGTACCATTTTACAATCCCACCAACAGAGTACAAGTATTCCAATATCTCTATATCCTCTCCAAAGCTTATCTTTTGTTTTTTCATACTAGTCATTCTAACAGTTGTGAAGTGATATTTCATTGTGGTTTTGACTTGCATTTCTCTGATGATTACAGGCATTAAGCATTTTTTTTTTTTTTTTTTTTGAGACAGGGTTCCTGCTCTTGTTGCCCAGGCTGGAGTGCAATGTCATGATCTTGGCTCACTGCAAGCTTTGCCTCCCAGGTTCAAGCGATTCTCCTGCCTCAGCCTCCCAAGCAGCTGGGATCACAGGCATTCGCCACCACACTCGGCTAATTTTGTATTTTTAGTAGAGATGGGTTTTCACCATGTTGGCCAGGTTGTTCTTGAACTCCTGACCTCAGATGATCCAACAGCCTCATCCTCCCAAAGTGCTGGAATTACAGGCGTGAGCCACTGCACCCAGCCAAGCATCTTTTAATATACTTGTTGTCTATTTGTATGTCTTTTTCAGAAAATTGTCTATTCAAATACTTCACTCATTTTTAATTGTTTTTTCTTTTTTTTGCTATTGAGTTGTAGGAGTTCCTTATATATTTGGGATATTCACCACTTATCAACTATAATTTGCAAATATTTTCTTTCATTCTGTAGCATACATTGTTCACATCACTAATGATTGTTTCCTTTGCTGTGCAGAAACTTTTTAGTTTGATGTATTCCCACTTGTCTATATATATGTTTATTACCTCTGCTTTTGATATCATGTAAGACCAATGGCACTAAGTTTTTCCCCTTTGTTTTCTTCTAGGAGTTTAATAATCTCTGGTCCTATGCTTAAGTTTTTAATCCCTTTTGAGTTTACTTTTGTGTATGATATAATATTACACTCCAGTAACTTTTTTGGCATATGGCTATCTAATTTTCCCAGCACAGTTTGTTGAAGAACCAATCCTTTCTTCATTGTGTATCCTTGGCATCCTTGTCAAAGATCTGTTGACTATATAGGTGTGGATTTATTTCTAGGATCTTTATTATATTCTATTGGTGTATATATATGTTTTTATGCCAGTAGCATAGTGGTTTAAAAAATATTAAGGCTTCCAATCCAGGAACCCGGGATATCTTTCATTTATTTATGTCTTCTTTAATTACTTTAATCAATGTTTTATAGTTTTCAGTGTATGAGTCTTTTACCTCCTTGGTTAAGTTTATTGCTAAGTATTTTGTTATTTTGGATGCTATTGTGTGTGAGATTATTTTCTTACTTTCTTTATTGAATAGTTTATTGTTAATGTATAGAAAAGCAACTGATTTCTGTAGGTTGATTTTGTATCCTGCAAAGTTACTGAATTCTTTAACAGTTTATTTGGCATCTTTAGAGCTTTTCTACGTATAGAAATGTCATGTCATCTACGAACAAAAATAATCTTACATCTTTCCAATTTGGATGCCTTTTATTTTTTTTTCTTCCTTAATTATTTTGGCCAGGACTCCCAATACTATATTAAATAAAAGTGGCAAGTGTGGACATCCTGCTTTAGTGCCTGACCTTAGAGGAAAAGCTTTCAGCTTTTCACCACTGAAAATGATGTATCTATGAGCTTGTCATATATTCCTTCCATTATGTTGAGTTAAATTCTATTTAAACCTAGTTTCCTGAGGATTTTTATTATGAAATGCTGTTGAATTTTGTCAAATGCTTTTTCTGCATCTATTGATATGATCATATGATTTTCATCCTTCATTTTGTTAATATGGTATATCACATTTTTTGATTTGTGTGTTTTGAGAAGTCTTGCATCCCAGGGAGAAATTCCACTTGATCATGATATATGGTCCTTTTAATGTGCTTTTAATTTCAGTTTGCTAGTATTTTGTTGAATATTTGGCATCTATGTTCATCAGGGGTCTTGGGCTGTAATTTTTATTTTTGTAGTATCATTGTGTTGCTTTGGTATCATGGTAATGCTGACCTCAAAAAATGAGTGTGAAAACTATCTCCTTTCATTTTTTAGAAGAGTTTGAGAAGAATTAGTGTTAATTATTCTTCAAGTATTTGGTGGAATTTACCAGTGAAGCCATCTTGTCCTGGGTTTTATAGTAGAAAATAATAATAAAAATGTTATTAATACATCAGCTCATTACTCATTTTTGATGGCTCAGATATAATATTTCTTCATGACTCGGTCTTGGTGGGTTGTCTGTTTCTAGGAAGTTATCCATTTCTCCTCAGTTATCCAATTTTTGGCATATAATGATTGATAGCAGTATCTTCTCATCATTTTTATTTCAGTGGTATCATTTGTAATGTCTTGTATCTAATTTTTTATTTTATTTATTTGTATCTTCCCTGTTTTAGTTAATCTAGCTTAAGGTTTGTCAATTTTCTTTTTTTCAACTTTCCTGGTCTTTTAAAAATATCAACTGTTATTTTAATTTTTTCTGTTGTTTTTCTATTCTCATTTCATTTATTTCTCCTTTAGTCATTACTTGTTTTTCCTCTGACAACTTTAGGCTTAATATGTTCTTCTTTTTCTAGTTTCTTGAGGTGTAAAGTTAAGATGTTCAACTGAAACTCTTCCTTTGTAATGCAGGCCTTCATTGCTGTAAAATCCCTTCTTAATACTGCTTTTGCTGCATCCCATATGACTTGACGTATTGTAAATCTATTTTAATTTATCTCAAGATATTTTCCAATTTCCCTTTTGATTTCCCCCTTGACTGGTTGGTTGTACAAGAGTATGTTTTAGTTTCCACATATTTTTGAATTTTCCAGTTTTGCTTCTGTAATTGATTTCTAGATTCATTCTATTGTGGTCAGAAAAAATACTTCATGTGCTTTCCATCTTCTTAAATTTGTTATGACTTGTTTTTTGACCTATGTAAATTGAATAGATTGTTTTGTATATGTCTCTTAGCTCTATTTGGTCTGTAGTGTTCAAGTAACTGTTTTTATTGACTTTCTGTCTGGATGTTCTAGTCATTACTGAAAGTGGAATATTGGAGTCTCTTACCATTATTGTATTTCTGTATATTCTTCCCTTTAGTCCTATCAATATTTGCTATATTTATTTTTATGTCTTCTGATGTTGGCTGCATATATATTTATTATGTCTTCCTCTTAAATTTATATTTTTATCATTATATGCATTATTTTGTCTTTTATATGTATTCTTATGTATAATTATATGCATTCTTATACATAGCTAATATGCATTCTTTATTATGACAGTTTTTTTTTTTTTTTTTTTGAGATGGAGTCTTGCCGTGTCACTCAGGCTGGAGTGCAGTGGCGCGATGTTGGCTCACTGCAAGCTCCGCCTCCCAGGTTCAAGCGATTCTCCTGCCTCAGCCTCCCCAGTAGCTGGGAGTACAGGCGCATGCCACCATGCCTGGCTAATTTTTTGTATTTTTAGTAGAGATTGGGTTTCACCGTGTTAGCCAGGATGGTCTCGATCTCCTGACCGCCTGATCTGCCCAGCTCGGCCTCCCAAAGTGCTGAGATTAAAGGTGTGAGCCGCTGCGCCCGACCCCTTTATTATGATAGTTTTTGACTCAAAGGGTAGTTTTTCAGATATAAATAGAGCCAGCCTTACTCTTTTTGATTACCATTTGCATGGGATAGCTTTCTCCATCCCTTCATATTCAGCCTATTTGTGTGCTTAAATCCAAAATGATTTTGTAATAGACAGTATATATTTGGATTTAAAAAAAATCAATTTAGCCCCTTTATGTCTTTGGTTAGAGAATGTAATCCACTTACATTTAAAGTAGTTATTGATCAGAAAAGAATGACTGTCACTTTGTTCATGGGTTTTTGTCTGTTCTGTAGTCCTCTTTTATTATATTACATTGTGATTCATTGATTTTTATAGTGATATGTTTTGATTCCTTTTTGGGATTTTTTTTGCGTATATCTACTATAGATATTTTCTTTGTGTTCAACATGAATGAGGCTCACACAAAACATCTTACAGTTATAAAAGTCTATTTTAACTTGATAACAACTTAAAATCAATCACATACAAATAAAAACTCTATATACTTACTCACCCCAACCCTTTACATTATTGATTTTATAATTTGCATCATTTTATATTTTATATACATCGACATGTTCGTAGTTTTATTTATTTTTAATACATTTGTCTTTAAATTTTATGAGTTAAAAGCGATTTACACTCTACAATTACTGTATTACATTATTATATATTTATCTATATACATATTCTGATGAGTTTTATACTGTCATTTGCTTTTGTGCAGCTGTTTAGCATTCTTTCATTTCAACTTGAAGAACTCTCCTTAGCCTTTCTTGTAAGGAAAATTTTAGTACTAATGAGCTAACTCAGGTATTCTTTGTCTGGCAAAGTCTTTATGTTTCCATTTTTAAAGGACATTTTTGTCAGGCATAACATCCTTGGTTGGCAGGTTTTTCTTCCCCTTTCTGCACTTTGAATATATCACACCACTTGCCCTTGGCCTGCAAGCTTTCTGCTGAGAAACCATTAATACTTTTATGAGGTACTTTTACATGACAAGTTGCTTTTCTCTTATTGCTTTCAACATTATCTCTTTTTCTTTGAATTTTGACAACTTGATTATAATAGATCTTGGTGTAGAATTATTTGGATTCATCTTACTTGGAATTTATATGGCCTCATAAATCTGAATGTTCATTTACCGCCTCAGATTTCTAAACATTTTGGTTATTATTTCTTTAAATAATCATTCTTCCTTTTCTTCTTTTACTGAGGTTTCCATAATGCATCTACTGGTTAGCTTGATGGTGTCTTGTAAGTCCAGTATGATTTCCTCACTTTTTCAAAGTCTTTTTTTTCTTTTTGCTTCTCAGACTGAATAATTTCAAATAACCTATTTTTAAGCCTACTGCTTTTTCTTCTGCTAGATCGAAATCTGTTGTCGATGCCATCTAGTGAAATTTATAGTTCAGGTTTTTATGATTCAGCTTCAGAATTTCTATTTTTTAATAATTTCTCTTTCTTAATATTCTACTTTTGTTCATATGTCATTTTTCTGATTTACTTTAGTTGTCTATCTGTGTTTATTTGTATGTTATGGAGTTTTTTCAGTTAATTATTTTTAATTACTTGCCAGGTAATTTACTGTTCTCCATCATTTTGGGATTGTTTACATGAGATTTTTAAAAATTCACAGATTGGGTCATTTTTTCCTAATTATGTTTCTTGTAGCTTTGTGTTGGTATCTTCATATTTGATGAAAGAGTCACATCTCTCCATTCTTACGGACTGGCTTTGACAGAGAAAGGCCTTTACCAGTTAGCTTGGCTAGAGATTCTGGTAGCTTCTCAAACCTTTTCTACAGATGTCTTCTTTGGATTTTTGTCTGTAGATTTCTACTAAAAGGGATTTATTGGTTGATTTTCTTTCAGAAGCCTGAAATCTTTTGGGCTCTTTGCTGTCTTACTGCTATACCATAGGTTGAGATACCGGAAGCATACTCCATTTCTCCTTCTTTCTGGGAGAGTTGCCACAGATTCTGCACCTTGTCTCAATCTTGCAGAGCTGTACCAGCTTCAGCAAGCTGTCTGACACTCTTCTTTGTTCTTAAGTGCCCCAAGACATAGGAACTATGCCAGCTCTGCCAGTGCTCCGGATGAGGAAAGACAGGAAAAGACAGAAACTGGTTCTTCAGGCAGTTCACCCAAAAATCCGGAAACATTAGACATAATCTCATTCCACCTAAGAAGAAAGTTGTAAGCCAAGGTGCTCGCTCATGGTACTGAGCTGTGCAATATTGGGGGAATTACTAAGGTTGGTACATTGAAGTTGCTCTTCTTATCCATTTCAGTATTGGCTGTTCTCAGTGTTGTGCTCATCTGAGGTACTACAACCTCTTAACTGGATTCTGGACCTCTCATAAAGGTAGTTTGGTTCGTGTATCATAACTAAATTGGTGTTTTGTGGGTGGAAGAAAACTGGGACTTCCTATTCATCTTGCTGATGTCACTTTGGATGTTTAATTTTCTAAGATCCATTCCTTTTGCATTAAAGTCAATAGTGACTTTCTTCAGTTTCTACTTACAACTAGCAAACACAAGCATGTATATTTGTGATGCAGAAACAAAGGTCCAAATAGTGGAGAATGTAGACTGAAGAGTGTTTCCAAAGGTTGGAGCTCTGTTCAGTGTCATTATTTCAAATAACGAGAAGTTATATTTCTTTATTTTCCACTGATGTTGACCTTAATTTATGATCCATGTTAAATTAATTCGACAAATTAATTTATAAAAATTTATTGAGAACCTATACTATTCCACACACTGTTTTAGGCACCGGGAATGCAGCAATGAACAATATAGACAAAAAATCCCTGCTCTCATGGAGGTTGTATTCTATATGATGGGGTTGACCTGGGTAACTTTGTTATTGTTTCATTATTGCATATGTAAGTAAAGCAAGACTAAATAAAGTTGTAGTAACAAACAACTTACAAATCTCAGTGACAATACTGTGCTGTGTGTATTTCTTTGTATATTTCCTTTTTCACTCTATTTCTATTCTGCTTTAAAATATGACTTTTCTCATCTCATCATGGCTATCCTGAGACCCAGGATCATAGGAGCTTCATCTCAACACATGCTTCCATGACTCCATAGTTGTGGAGAAAAAAATAATCTTAAAGATTCTGACTGAAAATGGGACACCATCACTACTCACTAGCATGTCATTGGCCAAAGCATATAACATAGCTTTTCCTGAGTTCAACAAGGCTGGATATAATCCTTTTGCAAGTGAGGAAGCAAATTTTTGTAAATGATAATGTATTATAGTAAATTCCTTACACACTTCTTAAATATGTATTATGTCTCTTTTAATGCCAGGACTGTGTTTAATGCTGGGATTAAAACAGTAAAGAAGACCTTTTTGCCAGTTAATGAGCTAGGCTTAGGTGGTTAAAAGAGTGAACAAGACTTTTTACAAGTAAAATTACACAATCTAGCCATTGAGACAGAGTTTAAGATAAAGTAATTGTACAAATATCTAACCAAGAATAAATAGTATACCAGCTTCCAAATTCCATTAATGGCAGAATAGATTATATTAGACAAGCTGTCTGTCAGATAAAGTAATAAACTCTATATGAAATATTTAAAAGATAACTAGTTGAAGGCACTGAAGAGTGACCAAAAGTAAGTAGAAACTGAACAGGAATCAATGATTGAATGTCACTGTGTGACACTACTATTTATTTGGCTCTTTGCATGTTGACAGTTTATGCAGCATTGTGTGACTAGAAATTTGACATAAACATGCAGACATATAAGGTTGAAAACTCAAAGCGGGAGTTCAGTGCTTCTGGAGTGACAGGAAGAGTGGAAGTTGCAGTACCAGGGAAGCCATAGAGGGGATGGCCATACAATTTGTGTATGAGCTCCACGCAAATCTGTATGTAAGATCTATATGAATCCTTAGAACTATACATGGGGATACTGCAAGAAGTACAATATAAAGTAATAGCAGGAAATCGAAGGAAGTTGATTGACAATTTCAGATGCTGCCCACCACAAGAGAGACAGAATTTGGAATCTGATTATAAACAAGTTAACTGCCTGATATATCCCCTACCAAAAAAAAAAACAAAACAAAACACTTTTCAAAAGGAGATGGCAGGACATAGAGTCTCTAAAAAATGTCATTTACATTACTCAGTACCTAATCAGATGTTGGTAGACATGTGAAGAAATGAGATTTTTATCTTTAGTCAAGAAAACAAATTGAAAACACTGTCAATGGGGTGTAATTTAGAGTTTACCTAGATGCCGGAATAACAGGTAAGCACTTTTAAACGACAACTATAAATGTGTTCAAAAACATAAAATATATTCACAATAAGTTAACTTATGGGAAATCTTAGCAGATGAATTAAAATAATAAAAACTTGGAAATCCTAGAAATGAAAATATACTATACTAGAAGTAATAAATTCACCAGATAATATTAACAGCTAAATGAAGAGGAAAGAACAAAATGTCAGTGAATTTATACATATACCAATAAAAACCATACAATTGGCCAGGTGCGGTGGCTCACACCTGTAATCCCAGCACTTTAGGACGCCGAGGAGGGTGGATCACCAGAGGTTAGGAGTTCCAGACCAGCCTGGACAACATGGTGAAACCCCATCTCTACTAAAAATACAAAAATTAGCCGGGTGTGGCAGTGGGTGCTTGTAATTCCAGATAATTGGGAGGCTGAGGAAGGAGAATTGCTTGAACCTGGGGGGCAGAGGTTGCAGTGAGCCGAGATCGTGCCATTACACTCCAGCCTGGGCAACAAGAAAAGAAAAAATCATAAAATCCAGAGAAGAGAGAAAACATTAGAAAAAAGAAAGAAGAATCCCAAGTGACCTGTGAGGAAATATTGAATGATGTAACATACACTTATTGTAGTTGAGAAGTAGAAGAAAGAAAAATTGCAGCACAAAATATACATATACGAGGAAAAAAGTCAGAAAATTCAAAAATTGGTGAAAAACATAAATTTACAGATTTAAGAATTTCAACTAATTCCAAGGTAGACAAATTCAAAGCATATCACATTGTGACACATCATAGTCAAACTGCTAAAATGCAATGATAATGAGAACATCTTGACAACCAGAGAAAAATAATCCATTTCACACACAGGAACAATGATATGAATAACAGCTGCCTTCCCTCTCACCTCATCCCCCCCGAAAAAAGAGTCAAAAGTCTATGTGATAACATTTTTAAAGTGAACAAAGAAAGAATTTCAAAAATGATGACAAACAAGTCCAAGATGGCAGATTAGAGGCTTTTAGCATGCCCCTGTGACTTGGGAAATCGCAAGATAGTGCATAAAGGTGAACTCTGTGTGCTTTAATTCAAGAAGAAAAATAGGAATCCACTGGAATCATGAAGAACATCCCAGATCCTGGGGAGGAGAATGTCAGCAAACAGCCCCCCTTATGACATTTGGCTGATAAAAGTGAGTGAACCCCTAATATATGAGAGAAGCAGAGAACCTCCTTCTGTGACTCACCTTTCTACTGGGAATCCAAGCAACCCCGGTCAAGGGAGAGCATTTTGTTTCTTCCAAACCTTAAAGTTAAAGTGGGGAAAGGCTTGGAGATGTTGTGAGAGAAAGACACCAGAAAATGTTGCAGACGCTGTTCCAGACCAACAATCAAGAGCAGGATGCCGTTTAAATCCAGGCACATATGAAGTCAGCCATTCGTGGCAACTCGGCAGTGTGGCCACACAGGTATTTTAGTCTTCGAAAAGAGATTGGATCACCTGCTTTTGAGTGGGTAGGGGCCTCCACAGCCCAAACTGTGGAAAGCATCTCAGCAGTAGGTACTGGAATTGGTTCTTCCAACCCCCACCAAGTCTGGGGTGGGAAGAGAGCCACTACAGCTGCAGTTTCCCTTGGGTGGTGAGACTTGCAGCTGGAGCCAGCTTGGTGACCTGAAACTGATCTGCATATGCCATTGCTGCTTGCCCCACCCTACTCTCTTGAGATTGTGGTGCAGCAGGGCCCTCTCTGCTCCACCCCCAGGCAGAAATTCAGGCATTTGGAGCACTAGTTCACCTGGTTCAAGACCCTGAGCTGTCTTACCCTTCATTGGCATAGATCATGGTGCAACAGGGCACTCTCTGCTTCACACCCAGGCAGATTTCCAGGCATTCAGAGCAGCACCTCAACTGGATCAGCAGCCTGACCCACCCCATATTTCCTGTGCAAAGATCCTGGTGGAAGGAGGCCCTTTCCACTGCACGCCCAGGCAGGTCTCCAGGCTTCTGGAAGACCCACTCTCTTTAATTAGGAGTTTAGGCCACTCCTGATCCCATGCAGAGAGCATGGGGCTGAGGAGGTTTCCCAGCTCCACACCTAGACACACTTCTGGGTGCTTGGCAGCCACCCACTGGATTGTCCCATGGCACTGGTGCTCGTGCCTGCCTCTGGGAGACCTGTAGGCAGACCTGCCCGGTTCAGACCCACCCATCATGGCCTCTGCCCCCAGGTGCTGAGCAGGAGCTGAGACCACTGTACATTCCACAAATCAGCCCATTGCCTGAGGCAACAGAGAGCTTCAGGCAGTAAATTAGGACCAAGTTTATATCCAGCTATATTGGCTGCAGCCAGCTCTCACTTATAAGCGCCATCTACTGGCTTACGGGTCAAACTGCACATCCCGATACAAAACCTGCTGAAAGAAGTGCATAGGGCTCTAGAAGCAAAGTCAAAAGACCCTACCCAGCACTCTCTACAGCTACACCCCAAAGAGGGGGTGGAGAGGAAAAGGGAAATAAAAAATCTTAACGGTAACTAGAGAAAAAGTTCATATTACTTACAAAGGGAAAGTCATCAGGTTAACAGCATACTTCTCATCAGAAATCTTGCAAGTCTGGAGAGATTGGTGGCCTACTGTTAGCATATCTAGAGAAAAGAGATTCCAATCAATAATTTTATATCCCACCAAAGAAGGCTTCATAAGTGAATGAGAAATGAAAATATTTTCCAGAGAAGCAAGTGCAAAGGGAATCATGTGGAAAGAAAGAAAAAAAAATTAAAAATCTTACCCATACAAGAATGACTAAAAAATTAGAAATGTCAGCAGCATCTCCAAATTATGGGGAACCAGCACGAGAATTCTGGCACTATGAAAAATCTGAAATGTAGTGACACCACCAAAAGATCACACTAGCTCTCCAGCAATGGTCCTTAGCCAAAATGGAAACTCAGAAATGACAGATAAAGAATTCAAAGTATATATTGCCAGGAAGCTCAATGAGATCCAAGACAAGGTTGAAAATTGACACAAAGAAAAGTCTAAAGCAATTCAGGAAATGAAGGAAGAGAAACATCATAAAAACAAATAAATTAGCTTCTGGAATTGAAAATTCACTTAAGGAATTTCAAAATACAATTGAAAGCTTTATCAATAGACTGGGCCAAGCCAAGTAAAGAAATTTAAGAGCTTGAAGACCAGTCTTTCAAATCAGCCCAGTCAGATAAAAATAAAGAAAAAAAATAAAAATAAACAATGTTTTCAAGAAATATGGGATTATGTAAAGCAACCAAACCTATGAATTACTAGCATTCCTGAGACAGACAGAGAAAAAGTAAACAGCCTGGAAAACATATTTGAGGGAATAATTTAAGAAAACTTTTCTAATCTTGTTAGAGAGGTAGACATTTAGATATAAGAAATCCAGACAACACCTGCAAGATACTATACAAAATGAACATCACGAAGGCATATACTCACTAGAATGTTCAAGATCAACCCTAAAGAAGAAAATCTAAAATTCAGCTATAGAGAAAGGTAAGATTACATGAAAAGGGAAACTCAGCAGGCTAAATGCGGACTTCTCAACAGAAACCTTACAAGCCAAGAGTGACTGGGGATCTATTTTCAGCATTCTTAAAGAAAAGAAATGCCAGTCACTAACGTTATACCTTGCCAAATGAAGTTTCATAAGCCAGGGAGATATAAAACATTTTCCAGATAAGCAAGTGTGAAGGGAACTCATTAACACTAGACTAGCTTGACAAGAGATCCTCAAGGGAGTTCTCAACATGGAAAACAAAGAATAATACCTGCTACCACAAAAACACACTTAAGCACATAGCCTGCAGACTTTATAAAACAACCACACAATGGAAACTGCAAAGCAAACAGCTGAAAACTTCATGATGGGATTAAAACCTCATATATCACTATTAACTTTGAATGTAAATGGTCTAAACACCCTCACTTCAAAGACACAGAGTGGCAAGATGGATAAAAGAACTAGACTCATCCATCTGCTGTCTTCAAGAGACCCAACTAAGACATAACTATAATCATAGGCTTACAATAAAGGGTGACAGAAAGATCTACCATGCAAACAGAAAAAATAAAAAACATAGGTCACTATTCTTATTTCAAATAAAACATACTTTAAACCAACAACAGTAAAGAAGGACAAAGAATGGCATCACATAATGATAACATGTTCAATTCAACAAGAAGACTTAGGCATCCTAAATATATATATGCACCCAACATTGGAGCACTCATATTCATAAAACAAGTACTTCTACACCTATGAAAAGACTTAGACACAAAATAATAATTCAACACCAGACTGACAGTGTTGGAGAGATCATCAAGACAGAAAACCAACAAAACAAATTCTGGACTTAAACACAATGCTTGACCAATGGGACCTAATAGAAGTCTACAAAATACTCCACCTGTTAACCATAGAATATGCATTTTTGCCATCTGCAATATGGAACACATTCCAATATCAACCACATGCCCAGCCATAGAGGAAGTCTCAATAAATTTATATAAATCAAAAACATACCAACCATACTATCTGACCACACTAGAAGAAAAATAGAAACCAATATCAATATCTCTCCAAACCACACAATTACATGGAAATTAAACAACTTGCTCCTAAACAACTTTTGGGTGTAAACAAAGTAATTAAGGCAGAAATGAAAAAATTCTTCAAAATCAGTGAAAACAGAGGAACTACATACCAGAATCTCTGTGGTGTGGCAAAAGTTGTGTTAGGCAAAAAGTATATAATGCTAAAGCCTATTTCAGAAAGAAAGATCTCAAATTAGCAATTTAACATTACATCTAGAGGAATTAGAATAACGAGAACAAACTAACCCCAACACTAGTACAATAAAATTAATAACTAAAATCAGACCAGAACTAAAGGTAATTGAGACCCAGAAATCCATACCAATAATCAAAGAAACCCAAAATTGGTTATTTGAAAGGATAAAGAAAATTGCTAGACTGCTAGCTAGATTAACAACGAAAAAAGAGAGAAGATTCAAATAAACGAAATCAGAAACAAGAAAGGTGAAATTACAACCAATCCCACAGAAATACAGAAGATACTCAGAGAATACTATGAACAACCCCATGCACACGAATTTGAAAATCTGGAGGAAACGAATAAACTTTTGCAAACACAGTCTCCCAAGATTGAATCAGAAGAGATGAAACTCTGAATAGACCAACAGCAGGCTCTGAAATTAATCAGTAAGAAAAAATATACCAGCAACAAAAAAGAAGCCCAGGACCAGATGGATTCACAGCTGAAGTTTACTGGATGTAAAAATAACTGGTAACAATCCCATTGAAACTATTTCAAAAAAAATTGAGGAAGAGAGGCCCCTCCCTAACTCACTCTCTGAAGTAAGCATTAGCCTAATATCAAAATCTGGCAGAGACACAACGGAAAAAGAAAACTTCAGGCTAATATCCCCGATGAACATATATGCAAAAATCCTCAACGATATACCAGTAAACAAATTCCAGTAGCACATCAAAAAGTTAATACACCATGATCGAGTTGGCTTATTTCTGATATGTAAAGTTGGTTCAACAAACAAAAATCAATAAATATGATTTGCCACACAAACAGAATTAAAAGCAAAAAACATGATCATCTCCATAGATGTAGAAGAAGCTTTTGATTTAATGCAAAATCCAAGGATGTTTTCACATATGCAAATCAATCAATGTCATACATCATAGCAACGAAATGAATGATGAAAACCATATGATCATCTCAATGGATCCTGACAAAGCATTTAATAAAATTTAACAACTCTTCTTGATAAAAATCCACAGAAAAATGGGGCATAGAATAAATACACCTCAGTATAATAAAAGCTATACAGACAGGCCCACAGCTAGTATCATACTAAACGGGAAAAAACTGACAGCCTTTCCTTTAAGATCTGGAACATGAAAAGGGTTCTTACTTTCACCTCTATTATTCAACATGCTGGAAATCCTAGCTAGAGCAATCGAACTTGAGAAAGAAGTAAAGAGCATCCAAATTGGAAAGAAAGTCAAATTATCTTTGTTTACAGATGATATAATCATATATTTGGGAAATCCTAAAGACTACACAAAAAAATTCACAACTGATGAATAAATTCAGTAAAGTTGCAGGCTACAGAATCAATATAAAAAATAAGTAGCATTTCTATATGCCAACAGCAAACAATCTGAAAAACAAGTCAAGAAAGTAATCTCATTTCCAATAGGTATAAATAAAATAAAATACCTAGGAATAAACTTAACCAAAGAAGTGCAAGATCTCTATAATAAAAACTATAAAACATTAATGTTAAAAATGAGAAGGACATAAAAAGTAAAAACATATTCCATGCTCATGAATTGGAAGTACCAATATTGTTAAAATGTCCATACTACTTAAAGCAATTTACAGATTTAATGGAATCCCTATCAAAATACCAATGACTTTCTTCACAAAAATAGCAAAAATAATCTTAGAATCTATATGGAACCACAAAATACCAAGAGTAGCCAAAGCCTTCCTGAAGAAAAAGAACAAAACTGGAGGAGTCATGTTATCTGACTTCAAATTATACTATACAGGTATAGTAACCAAAACAGCATAGTACTGGCATAAAAACAGACACTTAGGACAATGGATCAGAATAGAAAATAAATCCATATATCTACAGTGAACTCATTTTCAACAAAGGTGTCAAGAACATACATTGGGGAAAAAGACAGTCTCTTTAATAAATGGTGCTGGGAAAACTGGATATATCCATATGCAGAAGAATGAAACTAGACCCCATCTTTCGCCATATATAAAAATCTAAATGGATTAAAGAGTAAAATCTAAGACCTTATATTATGAAACCACTAAAAGGAAACATTGTGGCAACTCTCCAGGACATTGATCTGGGCAAAGATTTCTTGAGTAAGACCCCAAAAGCACAGACAACCAAAGCAGAAACGATCAATTTGGATAACATCAAGCTATCAAGTTATAACATTAAGTTAAAAAGCTTCTGCAAGCAATGGAAATCAACAAACTGAGAAGACAATCCACAGAAGGGGAGAAAATATTTGCAAACTAGTCATCTGACAATAGATTAATAACCAGAGTATATAAGGAGCTCAAATGGCTCTATAGGAAAAAAAAATCTAATAACCTGATTTAAAAATGGGCAAAAGATGTGAATAGACATTTCTCAGAAGAAGACATGCAAATGACAAACAGGTGTATGAAAAGGTGTTCACCATCATTAATCATCACAGAAATTCAAATCAAAATTGCAATAGGATATCTCATCTCACTCTAGTTAACATGGCTTTTATCCAAAAGACAGGCAACAATGAATACTGGCAAGGATGTGGAGAAAAGGGAGCCCTTTTACACTGTTAGTGGGAATGTGAATTAGTACAATCACTATAAAGAACAGTTTGGAGGTTTTTGAGAAAATAAAAAATAGAACTACCATATGATCCAGCAATCTCACTCCTAGGTACATACGCCAAAGAAAGGAAATCAGTATGTTAAAGAGATATCTGTACTTTCATGTTTATTGCAGAACTATTCACCATAGACAAGATTTGGAAGCAACTTAAGTGTCCATTAACAGAAAAATGGGTAAAGAAGTTGTGGTACATATTCACAATTGAATACTATTCAGCTATAAAAGAAGAGTGAGATCCAATCATTTGCAATAACGTTAATGGAACTGAAGATCATTATTTTAAGTGAAATAAGCCAGAAACGAAAGACAAACATCCTATGTTTTCACTTACTTGTGGGAGCTAAAAATTAAAACAATTGAACTCATGGAGATAGAGAATAGAATGACGGTTACCAGAGGCAGGGAAAGGTAATCAAGTGGGAATGGTTAATGGTTACAAAAATATAATTAGATACAATGGATAAGATCTAGTACTTGATAGCACAAGAGGGTTATTACAGTCAACAAAAAGGTATTGTACATTGTAAAATAACTAAAAGAGTATAATTGACATGTTTGTAATACAAAAGCTGATAAATGCTTAAGGGAATAGATACTCCATTTACTCTGATGTGATTATTATGTATCGTATGCCTGTGTCAAAATATCTCACACCACACAAATATATATATACCTACTATGTACCCATAAATATTAAAAAAAAAGAAAATCCAAGAAAGCTTTTCTTTTGGTAAGGTATGAGTTTTATTCTAAAATGTGTATGGAAATCAAAAGGACCTAGAGTAGCCAAGATAATATTTAAAAGTAGAACAATAATGTAGAATATACATTACCTGTTTTCAAGATTTACTGTAAAGTTACACTGATCAAGATAGCCTGACATTGGCATGAGAATAGGTAAGTTCCTCCATGGAATAAAATACTGAGTACAGAAAGAGTCACACTCATACAGTGAGTTTATGCTTTGCAAATGTGCCTGAGCAATTCAATGGAGAAAGGGAAGTATTTTTAATAAGTGGTGCTGGGACAACTGGATATCCATATGGAAATATAAAAACTTCAACTGATATCTTATACTATTCATAAAAGTTAATTTGGGAAAAGTCATATAAATCTAAAAATGTAAAATAAAAATTATAGAGAAAAAAACATGAAAATATCTTCATAAATTTGGGATAAAGTATTCTATCAGAATGCACTAACAAAGAAAAATTCGATACAATAAAATTTATCAAAATTAAAACCTCTTTCTCCTCAAAAGTAGTCATTGAGGGAATGAATGTTTAAGCTGTTCTGGAAAAAATGCTTGTAAAATATAGCTGAGAAAAATCCTTTATCCAGACTATAAATAATTCCTACTACTCTATGGTAGAAAGACCAACATCACAATGACATTGGGCAAAATATATGAGCATACATACTAGAAAGGAAAATACGCAAATGAACAATAATCACATGAAAAATGTTTAATACCATCAGTTATTAGGAAAATGCAAACTAAAATTATTAAGAGATAATATTACACACACATTTGAACATCTAAAACCAAGATGATTGACAACACCAAATGTTGTAGAGTTTATGGAGAAATTAGGACTCTACATTAAGGGTGGGAAAGTATAACAGTATGACCACTTTGAAAGTCAATCTAAGAAGGGAAAGGTATTCCTACCCTATGACCCAGCAATGCCAGTCTTATATGTTTATTTTAGAGAAATGAAAATATATGTCACCAGTAAGATTTGTATGTAAGTTATTATAGCAGTTTTGTTCCTGACAGCTGAAACCTGGAAATAACCCAAATGTCTATCAACAGAACAATGGATAAAAAATTACTTATATCCATACAATAGAATTCTAGTAAACAACAAAAATAATTAACAATTGATACATGCAATAATGTAGATGAAACTCAAAACATTATGGTAAAAGTGGGAAAACCCAGACATAAAATATTATAATTATATTTTTAAACATTCCAGAAAGACAAACTAATCTATAGTTAAAACTTGAACAGTTATTGCAAGAGAGGGCAGCAGTTGATTGCGATAGGTCAGCAGCTGATTGCAAGAGAGAAAGAGGAAACTTTTGGGTGTTGGAAATAATCTATATCTAGATAGGCATGCTGGATACATGGGTATACATATATTTGTCACAGGTACATTTCAAATGTGTGTTTCTCTGTATGCAAATAGTGAATTCTACTTGGAAGTTTGGTAGGTTGAGTTTTCACAACAGAATGGGTCAGAAATTTTAAGCTACTTTTTAGGTATTCTAGACTACAGTAAGTGAATTATAGATAGGGGAAAGTATATGAAAACTGTGATGTATTTGTACTGGCTTTTTCAATATAAGCTCATAGTATGAACTTGGTCAGCTGAGATAGGCTCAATGTGATCAGCACACCTACCACCGAGATCTTGGCTTCTAAAATGAATCAAGACATTTTGGAGAAATGGTTAATTCCAAGGATGGACCAGGGGGAGTAGAAGATAAGCTTTTTTAGTGCCTAAAGGTAATTAAGTATCCAATAATGATGGGGGTTATATCATAGGAGCCACTTCTGAGATTGGTCAGTTCTAGGATAATTAAAGCATCAAAATAAATAATGATTTTAAGAGATTGTAATCTGTGAATAAAATAAGATTTAATAGTCCCATACTCATATCAATAAATGATAACTAAGTGAGGGAGAAGGGAAAGCTTTTCCCCACAGTAGAATGTCAACAAATAAATGTATAAGAAATGATGGAGTCAATGAATGTTAAAATAGTTGGTGAAAGTTAGATGAGAATAGGATATTTATATCATCTCAACATAGCTCTTCACAAACCACTTATAAATTACAAAGGAATCAATAATCTTACAATGGAGAAAATTGGCATACACTGCCATCACCAAGTGACCAAAATTAGCCATTAAAGGGACAAATAGATATCATACCTTCTTTTATTTCTGGCCATTAATAAGTGATTTTATTTTTATTTTTATTTTTTTCAACAAATCAATTAATGCAGATAATTATTACTTTTATATAGGACTTCTCACCTCCCAATACAGGGGCTACCCAGAATGTGTTTGCTCGCCCACTCAGCAAGCTCCTCAGTCTTTGATAATCATGTTGGGTCTCTAGATGTTGTTGTACCATCTTCTAAACCCAAGACCTCTTATGCTAAGTTAGTGTTATTTTCTTTTTTTAATTATTATACTTTAAGTTCTGGGATATATGTGCAGAGCGTGCAGGTTTGTTACATAAGTATACACGTGCCATGGTGGTTTAAGTTGCTGCACCCATCAACCCGTCATCTACATTAGGTATTTCTCCTAATGCTATCCCTCCCCTAGCCCCCCACCCCCTGACAGGCCGCAGTGTGTGATGTTCCCCTCCCTGTGTCCATGTGTTCTCATACCTTCTTATATGATGTGTTGAGAAGGGCACTCCTTAACTTCTGGAGTATTTCTGCCACAAATGCAATACTTGAATTTAATGAGGAAATGTTGACAAACTAAAACAGGTGAATATTCTACAAAATAACTGATCTGTACTCTTCAAAGAAGTCAAAATTAAGGAATAAAAAAGAAGGCCGAGAAATTACTCCAGACCAAAGGAAAGTAAAGAGATATGACAACTGAATGCAATGCCTGATTGGCAATTCTTGATTGGCTCCTGTACTAGGAAATTAAAAAGTTATAAATGACATTATTGAGACATTTTACAACTTTTTTTGTGAATTAGATAATAATATTGTATGAATACCACGACTTTGATAACTCTACTGTGGTTATGTAAGAGGTTTCCTAGGGAAAAGACAAATAATTAGAGGTAAATGAGCATGTATGCAACTTATTCTTACATAATAGGGGGTGAGAAGAAAAGAGGAAGGAGTGGGAGAAAGAGAGAGAGAGAGTGAAAACGATGGGATGAAAGGTAAACAACTGGAGAATTTGGGTAAAGCAGGATTTTCTTCTACTATTCCTGCAACTTTCCTGTAAATTTGAAATTATATAAGAATAAAATGTTACCCAAAAAATATATATGGAGCTATGAGAGCATA